>NC_000012.12:67763158-67914673 GCF_000001405.40 Homo sapiens | reverse complement strand
ATGGAAGCAGAGACCACAGAATATATGAACTGTCATGAACCTCTGAATATATGGCCATTAGGGAGGGATTGTTGTTCAGGAAGATTATTGTGTGTTGGTGCAACAAAGTATTGTATTTTCAGGTATGATTAATCATTTGGTATCTAAAAATCCTACAGATCTCTTTTCAAGCAAAATGGACTATCTGTACTGGAGATACTTTTCAGAAATCCTAATCTTAGCTTTCTATTAAAACATTGATTAAGATGAATGACATATTTGTGGATAGCCAAAGCAAATGCTAACCATCTATCTGATAATATTCTGGGTAATAACTGTAATATATTTGGATTATATAAGTCCAGTGCCTCATCAAAATGTTCTAATGTAACCACAATTATATGCCACGATCTCAATTGTTTTTAATCAAGAATTGGCATAAGAAATGGCCATGAGAAATACATGTGAAATATTTTAGAAAACATATTTTCCATTGGATTTCTCTAAGTCTCTATGATTAAATTCCATATAAGTAATTTGTCCTTGATTTTATAACCTGTAAAAAAAAAAGTTATTCTCTCCTTAAAAACTAATATCTTTCCTTCTGCTAGACAGAAATATCCCATGACACTGTCTTTTGCCTTGGGTAATCATAAGCTCAGAATTAATTTAGTGCTTAATTGTGGTAATTATCTAATTTCTGATTTTTGATAAAATTATCTTTCTCTAGCTTCTCCTCATTCTTTTTATTAGAAATACCCTGGATACATAATGATAGAGGTAGTTCTTAGTGGGCTGGATCTCATGTTCATTTGCCCTGGCATGTGGAATAACCACCACCTACCTTCAACCCCCAATCCAACCACACATGATCCTAGGGAAAGCTTTAACTCTGTCCTCAGCTGAAGTTCAGATTGATTTTTCTGATGGAGTATGTTGGGGGCATCAGAAACGAGACTGAATAGAGATATAACATATTAAGAGATGCCTGCATATATTCCAGCCTTAATTCAAGGGAAAGAAAAAAATAGCCTGAATATTTTTGCTTCTGTAATGAACAGAAGCACTAAAAGAAGAAGAAAGAATTGCTTCTCTTTTTGGGCTGGTGATAGAAATAAGGAAGAATTACAGAATGAGAAAAGTGATCATTATAAAACTTTAACATTAAAAGCCCTGTATAATAAAGTTGTGTCCTGGTACTTCATACAAAAATCCTTACTAGTCTACAAGACCCTGTGTGATCAGTTTCCTCCTGCCTTCTCCAGCATTATCCTGCCACTCCTCTGCTCACACACTGCTGCAGATGGACTGACTTTCATTCTTGGTCTCATGGAGCTTACATGCTAGTAGATGAATGAATTGGTCAATCTGTCAACCTCTGTGTACATTGCCTATATCACAACTTTCTCCTTACCCTAAAAGTCCCACTTTTGAATTGTAATCAGTTGGAGGACTTTGAACCTCAAGAAGCAGAATAAAGAGAAAAAATCCTCAAGTCCTTTGATAGAAGCTAGCATAAGCTTGTCAGGGCTAAGCTTCTTGTCACTGTGTGTGTATTGGGGGGAGGTGCTAGGGCCCCATTCCATCACACTATCTTCTTGGAGTAACTTGACAGAGATGTTGCACTAGATGATTAATTAATTGATAATTAACAGTTTTGGGGTGGCTTCATTGTGCCATGAGGTTGGGGGCTGAGAGTATGACTGAGATCAGTCCCCTCCCTGAACTTACTATCTAGTGGGGAATATGGACAGGCACAGCAGCAACTGTAATCGAATGTGATGGGCATTCAGGGGCAATGGGAGCACCTGGTGGGGGTCTGGCAGGACTTGATTCATTGGCAGAGGGAGTAGGGAAGCTTCCTGGAGAAAGAAACATCTACATTGAAACTTGAATGATGACTGGGAGTTATCCAGGAAAAAAGGCTGGGAGGTGTGTTCTAGACAGGGATGCAGCAACACAATAGCACCAAAATGAGAGAGTTATTCAAAACCTGCATGTAGTCAAGGTGACTAGAACAAAGGGAGTAAGGAGAGAAAGTAGCATGAGACGGGATGCAGATCATAAAGGACTTATAAGCCATGTTGTAGTGCACAAAGTTCACTGACATATTTTCAAAAGCAAGAGCACAATACCTTCAGTTGGGTGCCCTACTACCCCCCAAAACCCTATAAACCAGCAACAATGTCATTGTCCTTAGGTCAAGACAGAGATATCACACAGAATCTATCCCTTTATTCATATATTATCCTACTTAATTTATATTTTACCCAACTTTTGATTCATATATATATATATATATATATATATATTTATTTATCTGGGTAGAATGTACATATTTTTCAGTCATCCCGAGATTTAAACCATTTCATTTCTATCATATGCTTAATTCTCCTTTTTTTCTGAGAAACTCTTTTAAAACCCGTGTGCCATGGAATATTAGTTCTAAGAGAGGTTATTACCAAAAAGGGAGGAGGGGGAATCCTGGGTCAAATGTATCTACTTCTTGGAGAATAACAACACACATCAGGCTCTGGGAAATCTTGCAGAAAATAAATGTATTTTAATTATTTGGACTACTGTTTCTTAAGTGTATTTTACTATAGAATTTATCCACATAACCTTGTTGTTGTCTTATGTTGTACATCATGCGGTCCATCTATCAGTGTCCCTAGAACAGTAAGAGTACTGTTGAGTGATGCCCTCTGGCATCTCTCCCTTCACTTCTCTGCCATTGTCTTCTTTTGGTCCATTATGTTGTGCATGATTCCTGAAATCTCGTTTTCCTTCCTTGGTCTCTGCTCTCCAATTGAAAGTACATCATGCTACAGGGGTAACTATTTGTTAAGATATAGTTTATTTGAGTACCTTGCTTATCAGAGAGGATGGTCGTAGGGCAGGGTGGTGGGGCAAACATTTCATTTGGCAGAAATCAAAGGAAGCAGATATTTGGAAAGGAGAGAGTAGAAGGTATGTTCAGAAGGCAATATGTAGACAATCTGGCTGGATATACGAAATAAGGCAAACAGGTAGCCCATCCTATCTGTGTACCTTAGGCATTTTCTAATGTGTTGGGAAATGATACTTTCATTTCTCCCACCAGAACATTAAAACTTGAAGCCTGAAAAGAGTTCTGTAACGATGGCCCTAAACATTTTCTAAAGGGAGAGAAGGAGCTGTTCATTCGCTGCCACGCTGCTATCACAGAGAGGCCTGCTGCATTTGCGTTGTTTGCCAAGAATGAGAGGCTGGCTCCAGGATCCCACTTCTAACTTGGCCAGCGTGCACTCTTTTCTCTTACTATGAATACTCACTTGAGAACCTTGCAGCTATTTTAGGTACTTTGTATAAGGTGGCCTTCTTGGATGACACTGGGGCTTCTTGTATTGTTGAAATTAGCTGGTGGTGGCAACTTTCAGGATGAAAAGTCTGCTAGTAATTAAATTCCGATGAATAGTTAAGAATAGAAGTATCCCAGGAGAGCAAAGCTCTGCAGAGGGTAACTGTGCACTGGCATTGCAAATGTGACCTGTCACACATTGGTTTCGCAGGCACTTTCAGTCTCCATGACTGCCACGGAGCACAAATGCATTGGCATCGCGGGATAATATCAGTGTTGTTGAACGTTGTAGAAAGTAATGGCCTCCCATTAGCAGAGAAATCCTTAGGCAATCGAAAATCGTTTATCAACACACACATCGAAGCCAATAGGAGACATTTATTTCCAAGGTGGGAAATGTTTATTCTGTGTCATTCTCCCCAGACAAAGCCCTTACTTGCCTAATACTTAATGACAAATGATGCAGCTGCTCTTCCTCTATTGGACACATGTACAAAACAGGAAGAGAGGAGCAGTTGCTACATATGCCATACATAATCCCTATCCCAATTGGCTCAGAGCACGCCTTTCTTTTTTATGTGTCATAGACGACATGGGAAAGTAATTTTAAAAATGAATCCCTGCACTGCTATAAATAAGTTCAGTTGTCTCCAGAGGCCAAGTGTAGGTTTCAATGAAAAAAAAAAAAAAAAAAAAAAACTATCACCACTTTATATGTGTGTTAGTAAAAGGGATGGCATTTGAATATGATTGCTGAGAGATTTGGAATTCCAGAAAAGTGAGGCATTTCTGAGTAATACATGAATAAGAGGTAAAGAACCTACCAGCTCGTTACTTAATGCTCTTTAATAATACCACAATATGGAAGATTCACATTCTCTATTTCCCATTATCTGGATGACTTGGATAATTCAAATAAGATCCACAGACTGGGAAACCAGTGAGGACTAAACAAGTTGTCATTGTCCTTCCCACGTGGGCCCTCGATATGCCCCTAGGTTCCAGCCAACGTTCTAATGGCTTTCTCACTGTGAATGAATATTTCTTCGTTGCCATTATTTCTGGCTTTCCTAAGGTGGGGCACATACATTAAAAAAAAAAAAAAAAAAAAAAAACCTATAACTCATGTAACAGGTTTTTATTAAATCAGCCCCGTTACATTGTAGTTTCAACAACTGGTTTCCTATCTTGTGTGTCTGTGCTGGGGTTCCTGTGTTGGTTTGCTGGCCATTAGTGAATTCTTTGGGACTGGGATTCATTTTTGCCCTCCTGCTCGTTTTAGAGATAGGTAAGCTCCATACCACTCCCAAACCCAAATCCTGATACACAACCTCCTGCTGAATCTCTTGACACTGACTATTAGAACTTCTTTCTGTGGTCTAATACTTTGGGTCTCCTCTTACTTTCTCTTCCAACCATATAGGGCTTCCCAATCTCTGAGTCAGGCTCTCTCTATCTGACCCTCTCTACTATCTATCAAGGCTGTTTCAGAGGCCATGAGTTTAAGACACAAATGCTGCTTTTGTTTCAGTTGTTCTCCCTAAACATTGTTTTAGCTTTAGCTATCACCTTACTCCTTCCAATATTCATTTGCTCTTTCAAAAACACTTATGGTTTCTATGTTGTACGAGGCACTGGAACTGGTAGAAAGAAAAAGAAGGCATAGTTCTTTCTTTAACAAGCTCACAGTCTAACATAAAACACTGTATATAATATCTCACGTTTAAGTAAGACTTTAAAGTTCACAAAGAATTTTCACATCTATTTGTTGACTATTGTGCTTTAAGCTATTCATTAATTGATTTTCCATATTCAGGACCACAACTATTCCAAAGGAGTCATGAAACTAGCTTTCCCATGATGTAAGTCAGATGCATACCAGAGAGAAACCTTATAAAAGTAATGAATGTGGGAAAGCCTTCAACCAGAATCATTGCCTTTTCCAGCGTGCACGAATTCATACAGGAGAGAAATGCCACAAATGTTTTGTTGCCTAAGCAAACTGGTTTCTTGACCTGCATTAGTTGGTGAATTTTCTATTTAATGAGGCCTCAATTCAGGACCATTTGAGGTTTTAATGCAGATTCAGCTCTTTTAAATTGAGAGAATGTGCAGTTTATGCTTTGAAATATGATTTATATAGGTGGTTTAGCACAGTCACGGTTGTTTAGCCTGCACAAATTCCAATGAGATTACATCATTTTATTTTTTATTATGTTTTTGCACATTTTGGTGAAGAGTGACACTTTGGCGAATATCCACTGCCATTGGATGAGGCATAGCTGTGCCACTGGAAAGTATGAAAACACCTAAAGCATTCTGCTGTCCATTTGGTCAACTGAGTGACATACTTTGGAGAATTTCAAGAAAAAGTTGTCAGCGATATCAAGAGCCAAATCCAGAAAGGGGTCATGGTAATATCACTTTGTGGAGCTACCTTTTTTAACTCAATACTTCAGGCTCTTTATTTACTTTTAGGTAATTTGCTAGTAATTACAGGGTAAGTTGCCTGGGTGCGGGTGTGCACCAGGTATACAACCTGGAACTCAATAAGTGGATGGAAAAACTGAAACAAGGAAACTGAGAGCAAAACAGCTGCTGTGTCATGGCAATCGGGGGATACTCAGACCCCTCAAGACAACTTTAAAGATGATTTTTCAGCTAGAAAAATATAACTGGCTCCTGAATAGATACATGCATAAGAGCAACCTGTGTTGTCAGTCATAATCATAAATCATCTTATTGTTCTGACACCTATGTTAAAGTTTGAAATTTGGGAATCAACCAGTAAATTATTGCAGAATTCTATCTCTTGCTTTACAATTCTGTCTTAAAGGCTGGAGTTAGAAAATGCTCATGAAATAGCCTACATTGTAACTAACACCTTAAAAGAAGGGGCATTCTGGAAAATTATAAACTCTGCTGAAAGAATTAGAAACTCAGATATTGAAGGCTAACATTCACTGAAATTTCCATGTGAAAATGTTATCTCAGTAAAAAGTGAAGCTGTTTCAAACCAATGTGTTGAGCTGTAATAATAGCGGCAGAGTGCTCTGCCTAATTGCATACAAAGATTCTCTGCCAGAATATATACCTGATTGCACACAGCATTTTCCTAGGCGCTATTTCCTTTTTCCTGGTATCTTATTACAATCTTAAGGGAAAAGGGGGAGTTAAGAAAACTAACACTTAGTGATCAGCTAATTTATCCTAGCTCTTGAAATTTGTTAAAATATGTTGTCTCCTTTAATCCCTCCAGAGATGTGTCATGTGACTACTATTATTCCCCTTTTATATATTATAGAGTTGGAGCTTAGCGAGTTTAAATAACTTGCATAAGGCCACACAGTTCACCACCAAAGCCCAAGCCCATGCCTCTGAACTTCTGCCATCTAGTGTACGTGGTGTTTTCAATGTGGAGACACTGAAGTCAACGTGGTAGACTAAATGAACACTTGCTGCCCTCATGCAACTTACATTCTTTTGGAGAAGACAGACAATAAATGAGTGAACAAATAAATAAAATGGCTTAAACAGTGATGTGTGCCCTGAAGAAAATGAAACAGAATAATATGTAAGGGAACACTGCAGTGGGGGAAATATTAAACAGTAAAATCAAGAAGTGATAGCAAAAATGTTGACCTTCAATCTGAGAACTAAATAGAAGGAGTGAGGCATTCAAAGAACAGAGGGAAAAAAATTTAGCTGAGGAACTAACCAGGCTACAGGCCATGAGGCAGAAAACAATTTCATTTGTTTTAAAACATAAAGATAAGTGCAAAAATTCTATTTTAAAAAACTCAGTACGTTGAATTCAGCAGGACATTTAAAATAAATCAACATTAATTCTTGCAAAGATGCTCCAACATTAGCAAATCTATGAAGGCAATTCAGTGAATTAAATGAAGAAAACCAGGTAATTATACCAAGAAAGCTGAAAAAAAAAAAAAAGAGAATTCAAACAAATATAAAACCCATTTATAGGAGAGAGGAAAATAAAAGCCTTTTAAGAACTAGAAATATAAGAAAAATTCCTTGGTTTAATATAGAGTGGCTATAGCAAACATCTTTAGAAACCATCATACTTATGAGGAAATATTAGATTCAGTTTTATCTAAAACAGCAATATTAACTCTCATGATATTCAACACTATCCCGATGGCCCTCACCAACAAAATAGGGCAACAGAAATGAGGTTTAATTAATGGAAAGAAAAAAAGAATTGGCAGATGATAGGATCATCTACCTTGAAAATCTAAGACAACTAGCTTAAATTCTATTACAGCTTTAAGAAGTTCATCAAATAGCCAGCATCCACAATCAATATACAAAAAAAAGCTTTTCCACCCACCAGTGATAATCATTAGAATATATATTTTTAATATACCTGTTGTCCATTTGCATGTCTTCTTTTGAAAGATGTCTATTCAGGTCCTTTGCCCATTTTTAAATTGGGTTATTTGTTTTCTATTGAGTTGAGTTCTTTATATATTTTGGATATTAACCCCTTATCGGATTTATGGTTTACAAATACAGTATATTTACCCATGCTGTAGGTTGTCTCTTCACTCTCTTGTTTGAGAAAATGTGGTATATACACAATAGAATACTATTCAGCCTTAAAAAGGGAAAATCCTGTCATTAGCGACAACATGGGTGAAACTGGTGGACATTATGTTAAATAAGCCAGGCACAGAAAGACAAATACCACATGATCTCATATGTGCAGTGTAAAAAAGTAAAACTCATAGAAACAGAGTAAAATGGTGGTTTCCAAAGGCTGGGGGCTGGGGGTTTGGGGAGATGTTGGACAAAGGACAAAACATTTCAGTTAGGAGGAATACATTTAAGAGATCTCTCAAAAAAAAATCTATTGTTCATGGTGATGACTACAATTAATAACAATATTATTGTATAATTGAAAATTACTAAGAAAGTAGATTCTAAGTGTTCTCACCACACATACACACAAATAATAAGTATGTGAGGTAATGCATATATTAGTTTGATTTAGCCATTCTACAATGTATACATATAACCAAACATCAAGTTGTACAATATAAATATATACAATTTTTACTTGTCAATTAAAAATTTAAGAATAAAATAAATTTTAAAAAAGAAAATGCATTTTTTTTATTATACTTTAAGTTTTAGGGTACATGTGCACAATGTGCAGGTTAGTTACATATGTATACATGTGCCATGCTGGTGTGCTGCACCCACTAACTCGTCATCTAGCATTAGGTATATCTCCCAGTGCTATCCCTCCCCCCTCCCCCCACCTCACCACAGTCCCCAGAGTGTGATATTCCCCTTCCTGTGTCCATGTGATCTCATTGATCAATTCCCACCTATGAGTGAGAATATGCGGTGTTTGATTTTTTGTTCTTGTGATAGTTTACTGAGAATGATGATTTCCAGTTCCATCCATGTCCCTACAAAGGACATGAACTCATCATTTTTTATGGCTGCATAGTATTCCATGGTGTATATGTGCCACATTTTCTTAATCCAGTCTATCATTGTTGGACATTTGGGTTGGTTCCAAGTCTTTGCTATTGTGAATAATGCCACAATAAACATACATGTGCATGTGTCTTTATAGCAGCATGATTTATAGTCCTTTGGGTATATACCCAGTAATGGGATGGCTGGGTCAAATGGTATTTCTAGTTCGAGATCCCTGAGGAATCGCCACACTGACTTCCACAATGGTTGAACTAGTTTACAGTCCCACCAACAGTGTAAAAGTGTTCCTATTTCTCCACATCCTCTCCAGCACCTGTTGTTTCCTGACTTTTTAATGCTTGCCATTCTAACTGGTGTGAGATGGTATCTAATTGTGGTTTTGATTTGCATTTCTCTGATGGCCAGTGATGATGAGCATTTTTTCATGTGTTTTTTGGCTGCATAAATGTCTTCTTTTGAGAAGTGTCTGTTCATGTCCTTTGCCCACTTTTTGATGGGGTTGTTTGTTTTTTTCTTGTAAATTTGTTTGAGTTCATTGTAGATTCTGGATATTAGCCCTTTGTCAGATGAGTAGGTTGCGAAAATTTTTTCCCATTTTGTAGGTTGCCTGTTCACTCTGATGGTAGTTTCTTTGGCTGTGCAGAAGCTCTTTAGTTTAATTAGATCCCATTTGTCAATTTTGTCTTTTGTTGCCATTGCTTTTGGTGTTTTAGACATGAAGTCCTTGCCCATGCCTATGTCCTGAATGGTAATGCCTAGGTTTTCTTCTAGGGTTTTTATGGTTTTAGGTCTAACGTTTAAGTCTTTAATCCATCTTGAATTGATTTTTGTGTAAGGTGTAAGGAAGGGATCCAGTTTCAGCTTTCTACATATGGCTAGCCAGTTTTCCCAGCACCATTTATTAAATAGGGAATCCTTTCCCCATTGCTTGTTTTTCTCAGGTTTGTCAAAGATCAGATAGTTGTAGATATGCGGCGTTATTTCTGAGGGCTCTGTTCTGTTCCATTGATCTATATCTCTGTTTTGGTACCAGTACCATGCTGTTTTGGTTACTGTAGCCTTGTAGTATAGTTTGAAGTCAGGTAGTGTGATGCCTCCAGCTTTGTTCTTTTGGCTTAGGATTGCCTTGGCCATGCAGGCTCTTTTTTGGTTCCACATGAACTTGAAAGTAGTTTTTTCCAATTCTGTGAAGAAAGTCATTGGTAGCTTGATGGGGATGGCATTGAATCTGTAAATTACCTTGGGCAGTATGGCCATTTTCACGATATTGATTCTTCCTACCCATGAGCATGGAATGTTCTTCCATTTGTTTGTATCCTCTTTTATTTCCTTGAGCAGTGGTTTGTAGTTCTCCTTGAAGAGGTCCTTCACATCCCTTGTAAGTTGGATTCCTAGGTATCTTATTCTCTTTGAAGCAATTGTGAATGGGAGTTCACTCATGATTTGGCTCTCTGTTTGTCTGTTATTGGTGTATAAGAATGCTTGTGATTTTTGTACATTGATTTTGTATCCTGAGACTTTGCTGAAGTTGCTTATCAGCTTAAGGAGATTTTGGGCTGAGACAATGGGGTTTTCTAGATATACAATCATGTCATCTGCAAAGAGGGACAATTTGACTTCCTCTTTTCCTAATTGAATACCCTTTATTTCCTTCTCCTGCCTATTTGCCCTGGCCAGAACTTCCAACACTATGTTGAATAGGAGTGGTGAGAGAGGGCATCCCTGTCTTGTGCCAGTTTTCAAAGGGAATGCTTCCAGTTTTTGCCCATTCAGTATGATATTGGCTGTGGGTTTGTCATAGATAGCTCTTATTATTTTGAAATACGTCCCATCAATACCTAATTTATTGAGAGTTTTTAGCATGAAGGGTTGTTGAATTTTGTCAAAGGCTTTTTCTGCATCTATTGAGATAATCATGTGGTTTTTGTCTTTGGCTCTGTTTATATGCTGGATTACATTTATTGATTTGCGTATATTGAACCAGCCTTGCATCCCAGGGATGAAGCCCACTTGATCATGGTGGATAAGCTTTTTGATGTGCTGCTGGATTCGGTTTGCCAGTATTTTATTGAGGATTTTTGCATCAATGTTCATCAAGGATATTGGTCTAAAATTCTATTTTTTGGTTGTGTCTTTGCCCGGCTTTGGTATCAGAATGATGCTGGCCTCATAAAATGAGTTAGGGAGGATTCCCTCTTTTTCTATTGATTGGAATAGTTTCAGAAGGAATGGTACCAGTTCCTCCTTGTACCTCTGGTAGAATTCGGCTGTGAATCCATCTGGTCCTGGACTCTTTTTGGTTGGTAAACTATTGATTATTGCCACAATTTCAGCTCCCGTTATTGGTCTATTCAGAGATTCAACTTCTTCCTGGTTTAGTCTTGGGAGACTGTATGTATCGAGGAATTTATCCATTTCTTCTAGATTTTCTAGTTTATTTGCATAGAGGTGTTTGTAGTATTCTCTGAAGGTAGTTTGTATTTCTGTGGGATCAGTGGTGATATCCCCTTTATCATTTTTCATTGTGTCTATTTGATTCTTCTCTCTTTTTTTATTAGTCTTGCTAGCGGTCTATGAATTTTGTTGATCCTTTCAAAAAACCAGCTCCTGGATTCATTAATTTTTTGAAGGGTTTTTTGTGTCTCTATTTCCTTCAGTTCTGCTCTGATTTTAGTTATTTCTTGCCGTCTGCTAGCTTTAGAGTGTGTTTGCTCTTGCTTTTCTAGTTCTTTTAATTGTGATGTTAGGGTGTCAATTTTAGATCTTTCCTGCTTTCTCTTCTGGGCATTTAGTGCTATAAATTACCCTATACACACTGCTTTGAATGCGTCCCAGAGATTCTGGTATGTTGTGTCTTTGTTCTCATTGGTTTCAAAGAACATCTTTATTTCTGCCTTCATTTTGTTATGTATCCAGTAGTCATTCAGGAGCAGGTTGTTCAGTTTCCATGTAGTTGAGCGGTTTTGAGTGAGATTCTTAATCCTGAGTTCTAGTTTGATTGCAGTGTGGTCTGAGAGATAGTTTGTTATAATTTCTCTTCTTTTACATTTGCTGAGGAGAGCTTTACTTCCAAGTATGTGGTCAATTTTGGAATAGGTGTGGTGTGGTGCTGAAAAAAATGTATATTCTGTTGATTTGGGGTGGAGAGTTCTGTAGATGTCTATTAGGTCTGCTTGGTGCAGAGCTGAGTTCAGTTCCTGGGTATCCTTGTTGACTTTCTGTCTCATTGATCTGTCTAATGTTGACAGTGGGGTGTTAAAATCTCCCATCATTAATGTGTGGGAGTCTAAGTCTCTTTGTAGGTCACTCAGGACTTGCTTTATGAATCTGGGTGCTCCTGTATTGGGTGCATATATATTTAGGATAGTTAGCTCTTCTTGTTGAATTGATCCCTTTACCATTATGTGATGGCCTTCTTTGTCTCTTTTGATCTTTGTTGGTTTAAAGTCTGTTTTATCAGAGACTAGGATTGCAACCCCTGCCTTTTTTTGTTTTCCATTTGCTTGGTAGATCTTCCTCCATCCTTTTATTTTGAGCCTATGTGTGTCTCTACACATGAGATGGGTTTCCTGAATACAGCACACTGATGGGTCTTGACTCTTTATCCAATTTGCCAGTCTGTGTCTTTTAATTGGAGTATTTAGTCCATTTACATTTAAAGTTAATATTGTTATGTGTGAATTTGATCCTGTCATGATGATGTTAGCTGGTGATTTTGCTCGTTAGTTGATGCAGTTTCTTCCTAGTCTCGATGGTCTTTACATTTTGGCATGATTTTGCAGCAGCTGGTACCAGTTGTTCCTTTCCATGTTTAGTGTTTCCTTCAGGAGCTCTTTTAGGGCAGGCCTGGTGGTGACAAAATCTCTCAGTATTTGCTTGTCTGTGAAGTATTTTATTTCTCCTTCACTTATGAAGCTTAGTTTGGCTGGATATGTAATTCTGGGTTGAAAATTCTTTTCTTTAAGAATGTTGAATATTGGCCCCCACTCTCTTCTGGCTTGTAGGGTTTCTGCCGAGAGATCCGCTGTTAGTCTGATGGGCTTCCCTTTGAGGGTAACCCGATTTCTCTCTGGCTGCCCTTAACATTTTTTCCTTCATTTCAACTTTGGTGAATCTGACAATTATGTGTCTTGGAGTTGCTCTTCTCGAGGAGTATCTTTGTGGCGTTCTCTGTATTTCCTGAATCTGAACGTTGGCCTGCCTTGCTAGATTGGGGAAGTTCTCCTGGATAATATCCTGCAGAGTGTTTTCCAACTTGGTTCCATTCTCCCCATCACTTTCAAGTACACCAATGAGACGTAGATTTGGTCTTTTCACATAGTCCCATATTTCTTGGAGGCTTTGCTCATTTCTTTTTATTCTTTTTTCTCTAAACTTCCCTTCTCCCTTCATTTCATTCATTTCATCTTCCATTGCTGATACCCTTTCTTCCAGTTGATCGCATCGGCTCCTGAGGCTTCTGCATTCTTCACGTAGTTCTCGAGCCTTGGTTTTCAGCTCCATCAGCTCCTTTAAGCACTTCTCTGTATTGGTTATTCTGGTTATACATTCTTCTAAATTATTTTCAAAGTTTTCAACTTCTTTGCCTTTGGTTTGAATGTCCTCCCGTAGCTCAGAGTAATTTGATCATCTGAAGCCTTCTTCTCTCAGCTCCTCAAAGTCATTCTCCATCCAGCTTTGTTCCATTGCTGGTGAGGAACTGCGTTCCTTTGGAGGAGGAGAGGTGCTCTGCATTTTAGAGTTTCCAGTTTTTCTGTTCTGTTTTTTCCCCATCTTTGTGGTTTTATCTACTTTTGGTCTTTGATGATGTACAGATGAGTTTTTGGTGTGGATGTCCTTTCTCTTTGTTAGTTTTCCTTCTAACAGACAGGACCCTCAGCTGCAGGTCTGTTGGAATACCCTGCCGTGTGAGGTGTCAGTGTGCCCCTGCTGGGGGGTGCCTCCCAATTAGGCTGCTCGGGGGTCAGGGGTCAGGGATCCACTTGAGGAGGCAGTCTGCCCGTTCTCAGATCTCCAGCTGCGTGCTGGGAGAACCACTGCTCTCTTCAAAGCTGTCAGACAGGGACATTTAAGTCTGCAGAGGTTACTGCTGTCTTTTTGTTTGTCTGTGCCCTGCCCCCAGAGGTGGAGCCTACAGAGGCAGGCAGGCCTCCTTGAGCTGTGGTGGGCTCCGCCCAGTTTGAGCTTCCTGGCTGCTTTGTTTACCTCAGCAAGCCTGGGCAATGGTGGGCGCCCCTCCCCCAGCCTCACTGCCGCCTGGCAGTTTGATCTCACACTGCTGTGCTAGCAATCAGCGAGACTCTGTGGGCGTAGGACCCTCCAAGCCAGGTGCGGGATATAATCTCGTGGGTGCGCCGTTTTTTAAGCTGGTCCGAAAAGTGCAATATTTGGGTGGGAGTGACCCGATTTTCCAGGTGTGTCCGTCACCCCTTTCTTTGACTCGGAAAGGGAACTCCCTGACCCCTTGCGCTTCCCAAGTGAGGCAACGCCTCGCCCCGCTTCGGCTCGCGCAGGGTGCGCGCACCCACTGACCTGTGCCCACAGTCTGGCACTCCCTAGTGAGATGAACCTGGTACCTCAGATGGAAATGCAGAAATCACCCGTCTTCTGCGTTGCTCACGCTGGGAGCTGTAGACTGGAGCTGTTCCTATTCGGCCATCTTGGCTCCTCCCTCGAAAATGCATTTTTTTTTTAAGTTTTTTTTTTCTTTTATTATTATACTTTAAGTTTTAGGGTACATGTGCACATTGTGCAGGTTAGTTACATATGTATACATGTGCCATGCTGGTGCGCTGCACCCACTAACTTGTCATCTAGCATTAGGTATATCTCCCAATGCTATCCCTCCCCCCACCCCACAACAGTCCCCAGAGTGTGATGTTCCCCTTCCTGTGTCCATGTGATCTCATTGTTCAATTCCCACCTATGAGTGAGAATATGCGGTGTTTGGTTTTTTGTTCTTGCGATAGTTTACTGAGAATGATGATTTCCAATTTCATCCACGTCCCTACAAAGGACATGAACTCATCATTTTTTATGGCTGCATAGTATTCCATGGTGTATATGTGCCACATTTTCTTAATCCAGTCTATCATTGTTGGACATTTGGGTTGGTTACAAGAAAAATACAAACGACCCCATCAAAAAGTGGGCGAAGGACATGAACAGACACTTCATGGATTATCCACTCACACACACACACAAATTCTTGATGGATTAAAGACCTGTGTGTGTGCATGTACATGTGTTTACATGAGTTATACACATTTATCCCGAGAAGTATTTGTGCATTTGCATAGAGAAGCTTGTACAAAGAGATCCATTTAATGATCATTTTCATCACAAAATATCAAACAATGTTCATTATGGCTAGAATTGTGAAACAAATTATGGCACATCTAAATATGGAATGCTATGCAATAAATAAAAGGATGAAGAGCATTCATATGTAATCACATAAAAAAACTCAGTCCTATTGTTGAGTGAAATGCAAGTTATAAAACTGTCCTATTTATATAAATCAATTTAAA
This sequence comes from Homo sapiens, assembly GCF_000001405.40. Classification (NCBI taxonomy): domain Eukaryota; kingdom Metazoa; phylum Chordata; class Mammalia; order Primates; family Hominidae; genus Homo; species Homo sapiens. The sequence goes on along the minus strand of NC_000012.12, from coordinate 67,899,352 downwards.
GAAATTATTCCACACAAAACTCTACTGATTATGTATGTCTATGTGTATATATATATCTACACAAAATTCTGATTATATTTATGTAGATATATACACACACATCTATACAAAACTCTACTGATTATGTGTGTTTATATATATTGCATATCTATTCATATATGTATAAAGTGAGGGCGAATGTTATATATATAAATGTTATACATATATGTATATATATTGACTACAGTGTTTTCCTCCGAGCACAATGATCAGGAATTTCAGGCTACATGGCAGAAAATTACTTTGTGCTTCAAGTATTACACAAATATGCTATAATGCTATTACATTTCCTAGGCAGAGTAATGAGAAGAGTGGATCTTATCTATCTCAGAAGACTCTCTGGAAATTAAAGATCAAGATATTGAGGTCTAATGAATGAAATGAGTTATGGAACATTTTTATTACTTTGTTAAATATTTTGGACAGATAAATATACTGGCTAAGAAGGAAAAAGGAAAGGCTAATTATTTTATTCCTGTAAAAACCATAGATTGCTCTGCATAATCATTTACAATCCACTATCCTATTTTAGTAGGACATATAAATGTCATACATATGTTATTCTAAAGCTGGTTTGAACACCAGCTTCTATGATCATAGGAGTGTGCAGAGTGGTTATACAACAAATTATCTTTCGTTCTTAACAATGTCAACTAATGCTTTACCCAATGCATATGGTCAGGACATACTTGATTGATTGGAACAATGTCTTTAGGTTAACTTATAAAGTAGAAGTCTCAATGGTTACTTCCTCAGTTATATGATTATGAAAAGGCAGGAGCTTAACCCCGCCCTACTCTTCCATGAGATGCAGTTAAGTAATTCTGCATCCTGTAGAGTTCCCTTACTTGTTTAATACGGCTTGCATCACACGATGATAAGAAACATGGTTAAGAATTTCTGAGATCCTATTGTGTATTTCACCTCAGTCTCTCAGTGGAGGTATTTCTCAGATCTTCCAGTTTAGGTTCATGGAAGCTTCAAATGGATAAGGGACAAGAAAATTATAGCTCCAACACTCCAGAAAAAGAAACTCCTAGAACTTGAAAACCACTGAAATTATACTCTGAAATATAAATGTCTTGAAGACTTAACTACTAAATTGAGAAATGAACAAATATGGAAATATACCTAATCCTTCTCAAAACACAGCCAGTTATACCAACCTGCTTAGGATCCTGTAACAAGATGGCTATAAAAATTCAAGAAGTGCTTCTCAGTGATAAATGAAAAATAATCCTGCAGCCTGCATTCTGTGAATCTACTAGATTGTTTTCTTGCAGTAATACAAATGGAGATATTTGTTTATAAACAGATCTTTCTCCATTCTTACCTTCAAGCTACCTGATACCTAGGTTTATTTCCTCAGCAATTAATCAGGTCATTAGAACTCTAACACAACCCTCCCCAACTTTCATATTAAAGAGATAGGACAATCTAATTTTTTCCACGTGTATTTTCTGCTTTACTCATTGGCTAGTCTGTTTTTCAGCACATAGGTGTGAGGTTTTGCAGCTCTTCTGTTATATAGGAGCCTATAGGACACACTTGGGGTGCAGCTTATAGCTCTGCTAATCTAGGCTTCTAGGAAGTTTTCTTGTTCTTTTTTAAATCCTCCAACACAAAGCCTTTGTTTCCTAACATAGTACATACAAGGAACCACCTGTGTAATTTCCACTTGAACTTTTAATAAGCATATAAAATAAAAAGGTCAAAACAGCATTTGATTCACACCCCACCCCAAGCCTGTTCCTCTAGCATCCCACATCTTAGCAGAGGGCCCCACCAGTCAAGGATTAAGGCCAATATCCTAGGAGTCATCCTTGAACCCCCTCTCTTAAACCCCATATTGAGTTTCCAGGTAATCTTGTCATGAAAACATACCCATGATCTCACCCCTTCTCATCAACTCCACCGCTAGTCTGAGCCTCTGCTGTCTGTCACCTGGGCCACTGCCTGGCCTGTTACTGGTCTCCCTCTTCCTGCTTTTTGCCTCTTGGAATCTGTTTTCCAAACAATTGCTAGAGAGATTCTTTAAAATATAAACCTGGCCAGGCATGGTGGCTCATGCCTGTAACTCCAGCACTTTGGGAGGCCAAGGTGGGTGGATCACTTGAGATCAGGGGTTTAAGACCAGCCTGGCCCAAATGGTGGGACCTCGTCTCTACTGAAAATACAAAAAAAGGTTAGCTGGGTGTGGTGGTGTGTGCCTATAATCCCAGCAACTCTGGAGGCTGAGGCAGGAGAATCACTTGACCCCGGGAGGCAGAGGTTGCTGTGAGCTGAGATTACACCACTGCACTCCAGCCTGAGTGACAGAGCAATACTGTCTCAAGAAAAATATACATATATAAGATATATAAATTTATATATGTATATTTTATATACATTTTATTTATATTTTATGTATATTATATATATACTGATTGCTTCCTTTCCTTCCTCAAATCCCTCCAATGGTTTTCCATCATACCTAGAACAAAATCCATAAGCCTTATTTTGGAAACCTAGACTTAACGATCTTGCTCCCATTTCCTTTCTATCTTGATTTCTTCCTCTCTTGTTTTTACTTATCTATTAAACTTTGGTGACATGGCCCTCCCAGATTTTCCTCAAACAGGAGTATAGCAGGCATGCTTCTGTCCCAGGGCCTTTGCACTTGCTATTCCCTGCCTGAAATACTCTTCCCTGAGACATTCATATGACTCCCATCCACATATTATTCAATGCCACCTTCTCCAAGAGAATGTTTCTGGCCATCCTATCTAAAATGGGACAGCCTGACATGATTGTCTTACCTACTATATCACTGCTTCTTAGCCCTTAGGTTATATACTGTCTATGATCTCTCTTCCTCTCTAGACCAGAAGCTCTTTGAAAGCAGGGACCTCATCTGTCTTATTTGCCATATTTCCAGTGCCTAGGATAGGGCCTGACACTTGGCAGCACTCAGTAATATTAGTTAAATGAATTATACAGTTTAAACGGGTAAGTTTATGGTATATAAATTATATTTCAATAAACTCCACTGCTGAGTATCTACCCAAAGGAACAGAAATTATTATATCAAAAAGATACCTGCACTTGTATGCTTATCACAGCATGATTCACAATGGCAAAGATATGGAATCAACATAAAGGCCCATCAGTGGATGACTGGATGGAGAAAATGTGGTACACATATACCATGGAATCCTACTCAGCCATAAAAAAGAATGAAATCATGTCTTTTGCAGCAACATGAATGGAACTGGAGGCCATTATCTTAAGTGAAATAACTCAGAAACAAAGTCAAATACTATTTGCTCTCACTTGTAAGTGGAAGGTAAATAATGTGTATACATAGACAGAGACTGGGATAATAGACAGTGAAGACTCAAGAAATGTGGGAGGGTGGAAGCAGGGTGAGGGATGAGTAATCACCTGATGGGCACAATGTAGACTATTCGGGAGATGGTTATCCTAAAAACCCAGACTACACCATTATGCAATATATTCAAGTAACAAAACTACATTTGTACCCCCTAAATCTACTTAAAAATTATACCTCGATAAACATTCAAAGGAACAGTCCCCTAATTTTAAAAATCGAGGGAAATGAATGAATTTAGTGAATGAATAAAAGCAATACTTGGTTTGATGTGACTAAATTTTTCAAAACTATTGATCTATAGAAAGTAGTGTTTCTAGTTGTAATGTTTCGTATCTGTTAAACATTCAATTTTAATGGTATGTTGGGAAGTTTGAGATATTATATTTAATAAACATATTTTTTAGTGTTTTCTGTGGACTAGGGGCTGTGCTAATTTGTACATAAATTATTTTACTTACTTCTCTGGAGCAGGTGCTATTATATCCCCATAATGAAGAACATGTGACTTAGAGAGTTTGTTTCCAGCCCAAGCTATTACAAGCTACCACAGCTATTAAATGGTAGGGCTTGGATTTGAACCCAGGCAGACTCCAACATTAATCCTTCTCAGTTTGTAGTAGGACAGGAAAAGGACAATGAGGTAGATGGCAAGTTGCCATTTTTGTAAGTGCTAGAAAGCTCCCAGGATGTTCTTTAACTCATTTTGTCTCCTATTGCATCTTTCATTCCCTCTACTCTAAGGAGTAGGACACTATGCCAAGCCAGGTTCAAGATCACCCTTTTCCAACTGACTGCCTTCACAGTGATGTTCTACTTTCTGTGATTGATAGGATCTCAGGACATCTTTGTCAAACAAGGCTTTCTTCATCTCTGCTACAGTATATGCTTCCTTTCCAGAGCCCTTTATATGTAAGAAGGCTTATGGACTCACCCCAAATAATCCAGTGCTGTCATCGCCTTTCTAAACTGAACCATCCACATTACTGTTGAACAGCATAAATTCTTCTGGCCTATCTGGCTCCTGTCCAAATCCCTCCAGATACCTTTCTCTAAGGCAGTCAGGTAAATGGAAAACTAAGTGTCCTAATTCAACTTAATGGTTTTCCCATTTACTGTCACTCAAAATTGACACCTGTCCATGCTCCTCTCATCATGAGCAATTCTCAACCCTGAAATGTCCTCCCACCAGATACCTCCACTGCACCCTCTTCCTCACTACCTTATGCCACATGTCTTGACTTTTTTTTTATTACTCTCCCTTTTCATCTACTCTGCCTTTGACATTTACTTTGTAGTTTTCCCTCTTTATTTTCGACCTTTCACATCTGACATTACCAATCTCCACCCACATTTAGTTGTATGTTCTCAGACGTCATTGTGTTTGTACTGAGACAAAATCAACTTTCAACCCCTTATAATATCTTGCATCTTTTGGTCATATTATGGTTCTCAAAGGTGTTCACATATCTAGTTTAAATCTTCTGAACAATACTGTGAAGTAGATATTACCATCTGAATTTGAGAGAAAAGGAAACTGAGTCACAAAGCCTTGCCCTTTCCCCCATACTGCCCAGGAAGGTAAAAATGGAAATAAAGACCTGTTTTTCATTTGACCACAGCAGAACACTTGTTACCTTCTTGCAGCAAAACATGGTAGCATCTGTGCTGTCCAAAATGGGAAAGTATGTGCTTTTACATTTAAATGAATTAACATTAAACAGTTTTAAAATTCAGTCCCTCAGCCCCATTAGCTACAATTTAAGTGACCAATAATCACGTGTAGAAAGTGGCTGCAGTATTGGACAGTGCAGATGTTAGACATTTCCACCATCACAGAAAGTTCTATTGAACAGTGCTAGCTAGATCGCTGTTGTACTATTGATGCTGAGAGATAAGAAGAATTTCCACTCTATTGGCTTTTATCTGCAGTTCCTTTAGGAAGGATCTCCCAGGAGATACAGAACCATCTCATCTTAGCAGACATGTAGTTCAGTGTTTCCCAATATGGAAAGATCACCAGAATTACAGATTCCTGACCCATTATGCTCAAATGAATCAATAGTGCTTAAAGATAAACTACTGATCTGCTCATTGGGGCCCCCATTATTCTTAAACCAAAGAATCAGAAAAGGTTTGCCAACCCCAGGGCATAGCAGATAATTCCCTTATTTTACAGTTGCAGAAATGGAAATGCAGAGATAAAAAGTAACTCTTCCAAAGTGGCAGAGCTAAGAATAAAATACTCATTTCTAGAGTCTTTGTTCAGTGTTCTCTTCTCTAAACCATGCTATTTTGTTGAGCATATGTAACCTACCAAAGCCTGTGCTGGATAATGATTAGGAAGTTGGAGGATAGCCTCCTCTTCCTCTATTCAAGCCTTTCCTTCTGCAGTCTTTAAAAATGGAAGGGCTGTTTCCTAGATGCCAAAAAGAAGCAGCCATATGAAGCTACCAAGATAGCTGGCCAATGAGGTTACAGAGCCTCGCCTTTATAACGGGGCTATGGCTTATACCTTACGTCACCCACTTAACTTGGTTCAGAATCTGTGTCTGCTGAGACACCTGCCCCATTGTCCTACCTTCGTTAGCCACTGCAGGCAGGAGCTCTAAATAAGTCAGTGTTGTGTAGCTGGGGAAGCCTCCACAACTTCTTGCCTACTAAGTCATAAAGCAACAGGTGGGTGTGAAAATATAACACCCTGCCACTTTTCCAAACAGCATGATACTCAGCCTGAAGGTGCCCGAGTAAGTTCCTGGGCATGTTGTAATTCACAGCTGCCGCCTGGAATGACATTTTTCCTCCCTGAGGTTTCGGGTGGCAGAGGGTTGGGATCATTTTTCCAGTGTTGCTTTTCCTCCTTATGACCCTTCTGTCCATGCACTACTGGGCTTTTGTTCCCCCTAGTCTTAAATGTTTATATGTGGCTGGATGTGAAGTTCAATGACTTTGGGGGCATAACATTCTAAAGTCACTTTTTAATTACTCTGAGAAGGAGAGCTGAGATTTCTCAAGCAGAAGGCAAAGGAAGAACCAAGCTCCTGGGCTGACATTCTTTTGTGCTTGAAAACACCAGCTTGCTAAATTTGGTTGCTGTTTCCTTTTTTAGTGGGATAATATAAAAGTCTGAATGTCTCATGCAGAGAAATAGCATAACCAAAGGCAATGCCTATTTGGATTTCTTTTCCTAGAGTCCACTCTCTGTTGCCACTTCAGATTTGATTTCTCACTTATAAAGAATAATTATGGGGTAAAATGGATTATAAATTTCCTTAACACAAAGCAGAATTGAATATTTAGTACCAAAAAATGCAACAGCTGCCTATGTGCATTTTTATCCTAAGAATATGATGAGCAGAAACAGGAATGGATATGTTTTAAGTAAACAGCCTATGTTCAGAAGGGACCTTGGTGCAGGGAATAAAATAGAGCCTTGGTCCAACTGAGCTCTATAATCAGCAAAGCCGCCACCATCTGTCAGGGTTGGTCTCCTCTCCCTCGGGCTCTGGCACCCGGGGCCCAGCTGACAGACGGGCATCATTAGCTGGCTGGTGCACTAGGTCACCCCACTGAGACAGGTCACCTTGTGTCTTTGGGGTGTTTTATTCCCCCCTGCTCCCAATTTTGATCCTGAGAAAGGAAAATTGAATTTTAGTCTTTAGATTAAATGATGACAGTATGCAATCTGTCAACTTCTTGCTGGTAGCCAAGCAGGTTTGTTAAATTAGACAAGAAAGGGAAAATATGATCCAGCCTCCTCTTCCTTCAGTCCTCCAGGATCAGAAGCAGGCGAACCCTGTCTGTGTACAGCCCATTAAAATGCAAACACCTCAAAGATGCTTCTTTTCTTTGCCCTGTGGATTAATGAGCAGGCATGGAGATGTCTATTATTTGGGCTACAGTGCAGAAGAAATGAGGGAAACTGACACGAAAGGAGAAACAAAGGAAGAGCCTCAACATGATGTGATAGTGAGTTGTGGCAGGGTCCACTCAGGAAACCACTTAGCACAAAGAGAAAAAGCCACAGGCACACTCTGCCCTCAAGCCCCTAAATTTTAAAATCAGTCATCTGTTTTAGCACTTCATTCAGTTGCACAGACTTCCTTTCACAGCTTTTTCACGGATTTCTCCCCCTGTTAACATGCCCAACATTGCGAGCCCTGCACATCTTCCACTTTCTCTAGAGGCAGCTGTCAAATGCTATTCTCCTCCACTGAAGGATGCCCCCAGCCCTGGCTTCTTGACCCTTGTGCTGAATTCCCTTTCTTCTCTGTCTTATCTTGGTTTCTGAGGGCTTTCTCATGAGTGACGGTGACCTAGTTCCAGACCTCACTTTAGATAAGTTCTGGAGAGAAGTTTTTATTAGTCAAATCTCAATGTAATCAATATTCTCTTCTGAGATAACTCAATTAATTCTCTTAATAAGGGAATACAAGTTTTGGACAGGGATCTAATTACAAATTCAGCTGCATTTTAATGTAGAAGATGAAGGATGGTTGTTTCAGCCCAAAGAAAAATGATAATCTAGATTTCACTTACATAAAGAATAGCTTCCAGTTTTGTCCTTTCTTCAGGAAATTGATCCAAACTGTCGACACTGTGAATCATCCTGCAAAATGGGTGGATTTTAGTTTATAGATCTTAAAGCTTTTTAAACCATGGATATGTTTTAGAAATAGCACACAATTCTATGAGGACTCAGCCTTTTCTGCCAATTACTCAAAGAGGGGCTCAGCAATGTTACAAAATGCAATGTAATGTTACAAAAATGCTGGAGGAAATCATATAAAGATGCAGACTGGGGCCTCTACAAACCTCGTCTTTGAAATCCCAGTGCTCACATCCTTCTACACAGACTGGTTCAACTTCCTCTCTGTCGCCTTCCAATGTTTATTTCAGACCTGAAGCCATGCACTCAAATTTTCCAGTCTTGTCTCTACTCCTCTCCAGTGTAGCATATAACCTCATCTTCAACTTTTCTGAGATGCTAGAGGCTTTTAGACATTTACCCTCTTCAAAGCCCTGCTCAGACATGCAAATGCCTATGCACTTGTCTCCACCTCCTTTCTAGCCCTCAGTGGAAGAGGTGACGCTTTTCCTTCCCTCCTCTTGCCCCATCCTCACAGTCCTTCCTTAAGGACTGGGGTCTTCACTTATTTTCTCTCTCTGTTAACCATACTTTCTGCTAGCTCCCTCCTCTCCGTCAATAAATGTGTTCTATTCTTACCTGTCTTCAATTTCCACCATCCTCCTGTGTCCACTCTAGTGATTCCTCTTCATTGAAAAAACAAAGGTTTATACTTGCTGTTTAGAATTTTATTTAGACTTCCTCAGTTCCCACTCATTTTTCTTTTTTTCTTTCTTTCTTTTTTTTTTTTTTTTTGTGACAGGGTTGCAGGCTGGAGTGTAGTGGCACAATCACAGCTCACTGCAACCTCCGCTTTCTGGGTTCAAGCAGTTCTCCCTGCCTCAGCCTCCTAAGTAGCTGGAATTACAGGTACCCACTGCAACACCCAGCTAATTTTTGTATTTTTTAGTAGAGACGAGGTTTCGCCATGGTGGCCAGGCTGGTCTTGAACTCCTGACTTCAGGTGATCTGCCCACCTCGGCCTCCCTTTTCCAACTCTCCATGTGGATTCCACCTTCCTGAGACCCTCTGGCAATGGTCATCATTGACCTGGGAATTTCGAAATAGAAAGGATTTGGGGAGTAGGCGGTCATTGCTTTCCTTGATCCCAGCTGAACAGCTTTTGAAACTGCAGCACACTGAGATCAGTGTGGATACAGCTTGCTCTGCATATCAGTGTGCTAAATGCAGAGGCAGTTCAGAGTCCAAAGGCTAACTCAGACTTCCTTAGCTACATCTCTTTAGGCAACTTACTATTATTCAAGCTACAAATTATTATTGCTATGTTATTAATGTTACAAAAAGCTAACATGGATTGAGGATTTACAGTGAGTTGGAAAGGGCTAGTTCTTTGTATGATTATCTCCTTTAATTCTGACAGCAACTCTAAAAGATGGCTATTGTTGTTCCCATTTATTTTTATTTATTTTTTTTGAGGCTCTGTTGCCCAATCTGGAGTACAGTGGCACGATCTTGGCTCACCGCAACCTCTGCCTCCTGGGTTCAAGCAATTCTAGTGCCTCAGCCTCCCTGGCAGCTGAGACTACAGGTGCACACCACCACACTTGGCTATTTTTTTGTATTTTTTTAGTAGAGATGGGGCTTCACCATGTTGGCCAGGCTGATCTCAAACTCCTGGCCTCAAGTGATCCGCCCTCCTGGGCCTCCCAAAGTGCTGGGGTTACAGGCATGAGCCACCACGACCAGCCCGTTGTTCTTCCATGTTACAAACAAACTTAGCCAGGTGCAGTGGCTCATGCCTGTGATCCCAAAACTTTGGGAGGCTGAGGCAGACGGATCACCTGAGGACGGAGTTCGAGACCAGCTTGAACAACATGGAGAAACCCCGCCTCTACTAGAAATACAAAATTGGCCGGGCGTGGTGGTGGATGCCTATGGAGGCTGAGGCAGGAGAATTGCTTGAACTTGGGAGGTGGAGGTTGCAGTGAGCTGAGATCGTGCCATTACACTCCAGCCTGGGCAACAAGAGCAAAACTCTGTCTTAAAACAAACAAACAAACAAAACAAAACAAAAGAAAAAGCAGCAGAAAAGTTAAACAATTGACCCTTTTAAACACACAGCTAGTAAGTCAAAGAAACAGCATTCTTAACCCCTATCTTGTACTTAACTCTCTTTAAGCTCCCATTTACTCAGAGTGGTATATGAGATAAAACACAAGTTCCTGTCCCAGATAGGCATTTCCTTCTTAATGTCCCCAAACACAAACATGTAGTATGTCCCAAATCACAAGCATGACTTTTCCCTACTCTTCCATGATTCTCTATCTTGGTTAATGGACAAAATCCCAGTCTCCAGGAGCCTAAGAATCCATCTAGAGTCCTTTCTTTCCCTGATTCCCCCACTTTCTGCTGATACCCATCTCCTTCATGGTTTTCTAGACTCCTTCTCCCCATGCTCAGGGCTCCCTGTGCAGCTTAGGCCCTCATCACCTCTCTACTATTGTGCTGGCTTCTCTACCACGGCCCTTGTTGGGTCTGATGTTGCTCTAATCGATCATCCACACTGCTTCCAGAGGAGTTTTCCAAAATACAGATAGGATCATGTCCTTATTAATTATCTTTAAACAAGACACAGAGCTTAAGTCACCTGCCCAAGCTCTAAAAAGGAAGAGTCAGAGTTTGGCTTCAAATCCAGAAGGTCTGGATCAAAAGCCTATACTCTTAACCACTTCACTGGCAGTACCTTCCAGAAAATGAAAGGATAATTTCACCCCTGTTCCTCTCACTGCCTGCTCTTTCTGCCAAGGACTTTCTCACAACTTCCACAGCAACGTTTTGCCTCTACCTAGTTTTGGCTTAAAGTTAGTCAGAATCACGCAACCCTAAAGTAATACACCAAATCCATGAATTTTTCTTGAGCTCTTTCTTGCCCAAGTCTTCATACACACCCAGGGACACCCCAGATCAGTGCAGGAGATTTTCCGAAAAAACACTAATTTGTCAAGTTCAACAAGCTCAATGTTACTTTTGAAAGAAAAACATCTTGAAAATGTAAACCCTCTGAGACTGATATCCAACTCTTAATTTTTCTCTATTGAAGGCATCACAGATCATTTATTGATCTTTTTCGAAAAGTAAAATAAGAAAAATGTATGTGTCAATTGAGTAAATAGTTTTAAGGTTAGATTGAAGCTGTAAATCAGGGTTTGGAAAAATAGTTGTGCCTATGGTTACTTTTTGTATGGGTTCATGAATTTTTTATTTGTTCTTTTCAATAACACTGTATAAGGTAGAAATTGTATCCCCCCCTTTTATGAATGTGAATCCTGAGGCTCAACCAACTTGCATTAAGTCATCTTGTTGGATGGTGGTGAAAGGGAAACACAAACTCAACCTTCTGACATTAAGGTGCATGTTGTTCCCGCTCTCCTGCCTCTCAAAGATCTGAAAATACTTTTCTAAATACACTTTTTATTTTGGAATCACTTTAGATTTCTGGAAAAGTTGCAAAGATAGTACAGAGAGTTCTTGAATACCCCTAACCTAGTTTCCTCAGTGCTAACATTGTACATAACCACATTACAGTCATCAAAATTATGAGGTTAACATTTATACATTACTATTAACTAAACTCCAGTCCTTGTGCAAATTTCAACTGCTTTTTACTAATAATCTTTATCTGTTCTAGGATCCAATTCAGGACACTCCCTTACATTCAGTCATCATGCCGTGTCTTCTCTGGTCTGTGACATTTTCTCTGTCTTTCCTTGTTTGTCATTACCTTGACTGTTTTAAAGAGTACTGTTTCAGTATTTTGTGGATGTTGAAAATAATTTTTTGATACTCAAAAATTTCATTTATCTGTTTAAGGCAAAAGTATATCTATACCTATTTGATTTTTGTGGACATATTTCAGGAAGCAGATGCAGATTTCCTGGTTGTTTTAGTTTTGTTTGTTTATTTGTTGTTGTTTTTACCTGAAAATGATGGCACATTTCTTCTTGACACCATCAGGGACACAGAACTTTTATCAACACTGTGTTTACCTTGTAATGCCTATCCTCAGATGAACTGTGTTCCCAGATCATTGGATCCTTGAGGTCTAAAATAGTAACTGAACAGAAGAGGTGATGAATATACATGCAAAATGAAGAGAGGGGAACATTTCACAGAGAGATAGAATAGTAGCCAACCAAAATGGACATAAAGTTTCAAGAAACAAAAGTTAATTACTATGGCAGAAATCAGGTTAAAAGAACTTTAGGTATAATGGATTACATTGTGTTGTACTAGGGTTGATAACTCTTTATTGCCGGTTACGTTGGGCTTGAGGAATATTGAAGGCAAGATTCTGGTGTTTCACTTCATGTAGTAAAATCTTATAAAATATAATGATAAAGATCACAGCACCCTTCCCAGTACCTGACACACATTAGGTACTTGGTAAATGCAAATATCTTTGTAGAGAATGCTTATCTAACACTTACTATGTGCCAGGTACTCTTCCAATGCTTTATATACATTAACTCATTAAATCCTTACCACTACCCATTTTGCAGTGGAGGAATTGAGCTTCAGAGACGTTAAGTGAGTTGTCCAAGGTCACACACGGCATAGCTGGGATTTGAAATCTGGGCAGTTGGGAACCATATGCATCCTTTTAACTGTGATACTCCACTGCTTCCTTGTAATCCATGAAGAACAACATGAGGAGTTAGCATTGCACTTATTTTCAAGATGACTGAATTTAAAATAACTTAACCTTTTATGTTGGAACTATTTCTAAGATACATCAATTGTCTTCCTAACACAGATCGCATATTTTCTGATATTAGAGGGTTATGAAATATGAACACCAAATCTGTGTTTTGCTTAATTATTTTTATTTTACTCTACGCAGAATGGTCCCACACTGAGAAAATGTTCATGAATTTTTTTTTCCTGCCATTTTGATTTATCCATTTCTTTTATCATTGTCAGTTCTGTCATTTCTTGCCACTTTCAGTTGCCTGACTTGGACAGCATCCTTTTTATCTCTTTGCAACAACTATTTCCATTTTGCTATTAGAATTGTATCTTAAATAAAATAAATAGATACTGGGGAGTGCTCTAAGGCCCTTTTCTGTGAGTTCAGAGCATAAGAGAGAGGGTTCAGTTTGTAAGTATTTCAGTTGCTTACCCTTCACTTAGCTGCTTTGCTTATTTCCTTGGCTCAACTCCTAATCATTGAGATCACTTCTGGATAAGTGAACTAATATATCACACGTTTTGAACACAATGACTTAAAATAGTTAATCAGTTACCACTGGTTATTTTATCTCCTCAATCACATTACTAAAAGACATGCCATTCAAGGCAAAAAATAAATTGGCTGTTTATCTTCTAAAAAGAATGCAAATGTGACTCATTATATCATTTAAAGCCCGATTTCCATCATCTGGGAATTGGGGCACAGTGGTTTATCTTTAGTTTAACAGAGAAATTTTCTCCTGTGGTGAATGCTCTTAATGATTCCTGGCATCTGAGGGTTTAGGGTCGGATGTGGGTTGTTTCTTAGGAGGTATTTGGTTCCTCAAGTGGCATATGAGGATGTAATCCCTGACTGACACCATTTCCCTTCCTTATACCTAAATCCTTACAGTGAAACCACACGGTTATTTTCTCTTTGTCTTCCCCAACACTAGAATTATTTCAAGCATTTTTAGATGGATGGAGTTTTTGTTCCTGGCTCGTTCTAGTGGAAACAGAGAAGTCCTCTGTCTGGGCAGAGTTGGGGCCAAATTGAGCAGGAAGCTCAGCTGCTATGTCAGACCCAGCTGAATTTGGGAGATAGTTGCTGGATGCGAACCAAGGTGTTTGTAACTACCAAATCTTTCATGATCTTTGGTACTGCTTGCCTCTGTGACATCTCAAAGCGTCCACATAGGGAAGGAGGCCCAACTAAGTACTATGGGGAAATTTCACAGGGGGAAAATAATGGTTTCCATAGCTTAGAATTTTTTCACAAGGGCACTCAACAAACCTGAAACAGGTCACTCATAGTTCCAAGTGGGAGACTGTTCAATGATGAAGAGTTACTTGACTCTCAGGTTGTAAATATAACACTCAAAACTTGTGATTTATTGATCTCACGCCTGGTGACTATTTTATCCTTCTGTAAATGGAACCAAAGTGCTATTAAGTAGTCTTAGTACATCAATAATACATGTCCCTATTAATTATGTGGTTAGTGAACTTTCAGTGTGAGACGTCATCTGAGTTTATCAAGTAACAATTATGTAGAACTTAAAAAGAAATCCCCATTTCAATTCTTTAAGATTATATACTTTATATCCTTTAACAACATCTAAATTCTTCCCAAGTTGGATAAACACATTATCAGATTCATTCTCTAACCACATTTAACTAATTTACTTCCAACCCCACCACCATTACCTTGCAGACCACATAGTCAAAGAGGTGTTCAATTTTGACACTGAGTTACAGGCAAGGTAGTTTCCTGATGGGTGAATTATTAATATTCAAGATAAATCAGGTTACCAGGCAACTTTCCAAGCACGACTTTTTACAGCAATAGCAAATGTAACTGGAGCTTTCCAGAAATGAATCGTGGTCCAACCTATTACCCATCAACTCTTCCTGGTTTTATGTGTGATAGAACACAGCCATGAAATCTGAACTCCATTTTTGAGGTAGTTATTGAAACACCAGTTATTTCTAAGAATAGCAGTGACCATATATTAATAGCCAATTAAGGCATTAGTCTCTGCTCACTGCTTGCTTCCAACTTATTCCTCGGTCAGCCTGGAGAACTGGGTTGTATTTGAATAACAACGAGAGGAAAAGGTCCTGCTGCTATTTTTTTTTCTCAGCAGCTGACTCTGGGTGACAAAATGAATTTTTCTCACAAAACCCCAGAATATAAAGCTGCCAAATTTCTCCTTTTGTGGAGGTATCTGAATAAGAAATGTGGAAGATGGCAATTTTCTAAGAACAACTGGCTTAAGAAATAAAAAAAGTCAGATTCTCTAATTGATAAATGAAAAAAACACTTGTTTAAAATACTGCCCTACAATTGGTTCTTTTTACTTTCTCCTCCTTCCATCTTTGAGAATTTTTCTTCTCTTATCGTCCTACTAACACCCATTCACTTCTCACCTTTCTTCAGGTTCCAAAAGAGATTTACCTCATTATCAGGTATTTCACTCTGCTTTGTCCTTACCAATGGAGTCATCAGTTAAGGGTTTTATCCAGAGTGACCAACACAGTGCCTGGTTTCACTGTCCCCTTGCTGATGGAAGGAGAAGCCATTTAGTCACCAGATTACAGCTGAGGATAAGCAGGGGTAAGAAGGAGCAAGGATGTCCCCTTCCGTAGCCAGCTCTCATGGACTGCATTGGCTCATGTCCTTCCTGAAAAGAGTCTCAGGCAGTGAAGGGAGGCTGGAAGGAAGAAAAAGTGAGAGAATGAGGAGAATTGTCATTGCCACCATGTACTGAGGGCCTATTTGAAATCAGGATCTTCCTTCATATTAGCTCATTTAATTCCCACAACAACCCTGCAAAGGATTATCATCCTTCTTTTAATGATGGAACTTGTGAGGCTCAAAGAGTCTAAGCAACTTGTACTGGATTCCCAGTTGGTAAATTGCAGAGCCAGAATTTGAAACCAGATCTGTGTCACCCAATGCTTGATCTGCTTCCCATCCTTCTAGTATGGAGCCCCCACAGAGGCAAGAGGGAGGGCAGATCAAGGTCCTCGGGTGCCCCTACTCCCTGCCTTCCTCACCATGGAGTCTCAGTGATTGAGATTTCCTGTGTCCCCAGCCAAGGTGTCAGTGAAATCACTGGGTTCTCAGCTGCTACTTTCCTTAGGGGAGACAAAGCACTTGTCCTCCCAAACAGTACCATCACTCTACCTAGAAGGTGTTGATATTCATCTATAAAGATGACTTGGTTACTCACTGCCAACCAAATATTTTTAACAAGCATTTTTTTTGGGGGGCGGGGGGGTGGGGAAATATGGTTAATAAATCAGAATTGGTCCTGCTACAATTTTCAAGCTTCTATTTAATATATGAGATGACTGATACACAATTACAATAAATATAATTCCAATTAAAATTAATACAGCTACCATTCATTGAGTATAAACTATGATCCAGAAACTCATATATCATTTCTAATTACTCCTAACAACATGGTGAAGTAGATGTTGTATCTCCACTTTACAGATGAGAAAATAGAGTATCAGGGGAATTAAGGAAATGCCCAAAGTTAAACAACAAGAAAGTAGCTGGGAAGTGACTGGAAATCATGTCTGTGTGTACCCAGACCACGCATTTTCCACTCCATCACAGCTGCTCCTTCTCCATGCTGGCCAGGTTGGAGGGAAGCCTGGCAAATCTGCCTTGAGTGTGTATGCCTTCAAGCAATCACATTCCTGTCCATGATTTAGTTGAATAATTTAATCCCTGTTTCATTCTCACACTAGGTTTGATTGCAAACTGTCTTGTCCTCCTTGCTTAATATTAATAAACTTTCAATAGTTTCCCATTCCCAAGAAAATAGATTACAAATACTGTTTTGGAAATGTAACAGGCCTCCACAATCTGACCTCAGCCTGCTTTCCAGCCTGTTCCTCGTCACCTTTTTACTAAACCTCTGCTCCGATGGAATGGGTTCACTTTCTTTATGAAATATACCAGGTGCTTGCTCACTGCCCTGTTTTTACCAAGTTCATTCCACCTGTCTTAAAATCTGCTGCTTACCTCCCTATTGAACCCAGCTCAAATTTCACTTTCTAAATGATCTGGAAAATCCAGATTAAAATACTTGCATTTACCCTCTACTTTAACAGTATTTGTTATTAATTCAACAGTAATTGTTGGTCCATTTGCCAACTGATGTATATGACTTAAAGACATGTCTACTTCAGCATCTTGATACACTATTTAAATCTTAGAATGCTCTTTAACTTTTAAAATTTGAGTGGTCCGAGAGGAATCTACTCCTATACCCTTTGTATCAACTGTGCAGTACAAAATATGTTGCATGGCATAGAGCAGGAACTGAAGATCCTTGTCCTGGTTTCTTTAACAACACTGTAATGTGGCACAAGGCATCAAGGTATGTTTCTGGAATAATGTGACAGTATTAGCAAGGATAACCCCCTGTTGACCATCTGACCTGGATAAAAGCCAGTTATTTCATTTACTAATGAAAGTGCTTTCATTTAACCTGAAAGAATGAGAATGGAAAAAATGAAAAGAGACAAGATGTAACCCTGAAGAATGAAAATGAAATTTGACTTGGAAATGAGTGATCCTTTCATGTATTTCATTTGTTTATATCCTGTCATTTTCACATAAGTCTAGTATTTTAGAGTGTGTAACTAAAAGAGTCAGGAAAAAGAATGTTAAATTAAAATGACTGTTTTACACTTTGGTAATTCTCATTAATTCTTTCCCTGAAAACGTATCTTACCTTCGGGAACAGAAAGGAGTGACAGGGCACCACAGCAAGATAGTAACTATAAACAAACTGGGCTTTAAGGTTTGTTTCTCACCTGCTTGTGAGTCAGTGGTGGAAAAAGTGTTTCCAGAGCTGGAGGATGCTCACCTTACTTGCCTGGGCCTGTTTATAATCATGACTCTATGACCCAAAAGCATCTTCATCTTGGATAAATAATTGAGACAGGGAAAAGAATGAACCCACTGGAAAAAAAGGAGGGAAAAATAGTCCTTCCCACAGACTATCACATTCCTTTAGGCCCCTTTCTCTGGAAAATGAGAAGAAGAAGCCTCATAGACAAGAATGTTAATTATAATTATTACCTAACATAACAAATCTTTCATGACAAGGGCCAAAGCTGTTAGATATTAATACCAAAACTGTTTCATTTTAGTACAAATTACTTTCCTGTTCCCTTTGACAAATGCCTCAATTTTCATCTCAAGGTTGCTCTTCGAAGGAACATGTAATTATCTGGTCTTGTTTACAGCAACAAAGGTCAGGTTCTTTAGTAGATATTAATAACCACTTTGCTGAGAGCATTCTTCCAGCTCACCCCACATGCTGAGCTTTGCCCTGATTTCAACCTTGTGAAATTTTCATGGTGCCCATTCTGTACCCTACCAACTTTTTATGATTCTATATCTATGGTGATAACTGCTTTCAGCCAAATTTCCTTTTATTAAACCAAATAATTATGCATTAGACAGCACCTTGCTCTCTTAGGGTTAGCAGAGTCTGGTGAAGTGATATGGAAAAGTTTATCTGATTTATTGGACCTCTCAAGACTTGGAGAACCGCAAGGGCATGACAAGGAAGTTACAGTGATTCAAGAAGATCATGGTGGTGGTGTCATTTCTGAGGTCAGGTTCAAACTAGCAAAGTAGAAAATTGACATCATTCTGAATAAAAAGAGTATAACACCAAAATAATTTTGCCTCAACTACTTGGCCATTTTAGATCCAAAGTGGGACTGGGTATTACTTCAATTTTGTATCTCCGTTAATATTTATAAACTTGTAATAATCGCTAATACTTATGTTCTAAACACTGTTCAATTGTGTACCAATTCTAGGATGTAGATACTATTGTCCCCATTCTCCAGATGGAAAATGAAGACATAGAGTTAAGTAACTGCCCCAGGCCATGCAGCTAACAGGTCACAGAAATGGGATTTGAACTCAGGCAGTCTGACTTCAGATGTGAAGGGCTTAACCACAAGTTGCTTCTGCCTTTCCAGCCTACTCCTTGAGTGTGCCAGCCCCTAAGACAGAGGACTCCAGCAAGGAGAAAATCTTGGCCAAATTGTACTTCCTTTTGGGTCAATTTTCCCTAAGTAGGGGCACAGTTTGTGATTGGTCCAATATCTGTGCTGTAGGAAGTCTGAGAGTTCTGTTCTACACCCACCTTTGAAGGGGTCAGATTAATTCCCTGAGGAAAGAAGGGATCACTTCTCCAAAGCCCTATGAAGTAGAAATTATTATAGCTATTCCTCTTTTACAGATGAACAACTCAGAAGAGTAAACTAAGTTACCTAAGGCCACATAGTTAAGAAGACACAAAACGGGGTAAAAGGCACTTCACTTTATCATTCTTTGTGTAACCCTGGATTCCTTCCATCAAAACAACACACAACTCAAAAGATACTGGCACATTATCAGACTCCCATTCAGTCACATTAGTCATTAGTCCAGCCCATCATTATGTCCTAAGAATGTGTCTCCCAGGGCAAGGCCACTCAGGTTTGCAGGCTTCCGTTCAATCTTGCCATGTTCCAAAAACAGGAGTGATCTCCGCAAACGAAGCTTCACCCTTTCAGGCATCTGTTACCACTGAGCTAAGCGACAATGATATCTCTTGCTCTGAGCCTCTTTTGAGGTGTTAATGTAATATTGGATTTCCCTGACTTCATAACCCATTTATTCCTTTATCCTCAGCTACTATTTTTCCATCCTTCATTAAAAACCTTTGCAAGGAGCGTTAGCGTTGTTGCTGTGCTGTTTAGATTGCAGGCAGCAATAGCAGTCTAGTGTATGCCTCCCCTCAGTCCACTCCCATTCAGATGGGGTAAGGATACATACATACATACATACATACATACATACATACATACATACATACATAATGGGTTACATAGGTGCAGCAATAGTGGATCCCCAGGCAACATAACTGTATCCACTGTTAAGCTCAGTTTTGCCAAATGGGGTGAAGGCACAATCCATCCCCCTTAAGCCTGTCAGGCCTTTAGAAATTCTGACATAAGGTTTAAAAACATAGTGACAGTTTCTTGCTTAGGAATCATCCTTGCTTCCAGCACTTGTTGCAGCCCTGGTCCCAGAACCACTGCATCAAATACAGGAGAAAAGAGAGAAAGAGACGTTGTGGAGAAGAAAGAAAACATCATAATCATTATGCCAGTGTACTCCTCCCTTCGCAGAAATTACATAGTTTTTCCAGCATGCTTCCACATCCCCTCTTCCCCAGATCAACCAGAAAAAGATAGGAAATTTTAGTGGCGACACTCCTTTAGTCTCCCTCATGTTGGGTGTGAGCACAACCTCATGAAGGCGTGTAAACCAGCCTCTTGTGCTTTTATCCTTCCCCATTTTAGACAACCAATGTTTTAATTGCCTGTTCCACTTCTCCTATCAAAAAATCATTATTCTGAGGAGGAGATCTTTTTGCCCATTGTTGAACATTGTTGGCTGCATAGTGTATTCCTTAGTCTGAAGAAATAACAGTTGGCTGACCAAATCCGAGCAATATCTTCTGTTCTATTTTTGTTATTGTTGTTGTTAGTGGCACTCTGAGTATTTGCATCTTCCACCAGGTAAGGAAAACCCACTCCAGAATCAGTGTCTCCTCCTGTCAAGAACCATTTGTAGCCTCCCAGGGCTAACAGCATCGGTCTCACTCACCAGCTGTGTCCAGGGCCTTCCCATCATGAAATCTGTCCCATAGCCATCTGCAGTCTCTGTCTCACTTGCTGAGTAACAGAACAGTTCTTACTGGCATCGTGTTCCAGAGAGGGTGCGAAAGGAACATGCCTAGATCCGGCCCCTCCTTACACTTCTGCAGGTCCCCCATATCCACTCATTTCATGGACTCAGGTGGCCACCTCAAGGGAGCACACAAGGATATCTGCTTGTTGATTCCAGTCACCTTCCCACCCTGGAAGGAGGCTCTTCCAATGTACATCTACACAGCCCACCTTAAGGCACCTTTCATATTTCCAGAGGGCCAAGCTCCATATGAGCATCCCTTTAAAAGGCCAGGTTTCTACTGCCCTTCTGTGTGACCATGTGTGGCCAGGCCATTGGCCACTGCCCACAAGCCAGTAAAAACCCAAACACAGGGGCTTTTACCACTGTCCAATTACTTCATCAGTGTTAGGAAGGCGGCATGCAATTTAGCTCACTGAGCTGATTCGTTTTTACGTTGTTCAACCAGAGTGCCATCCTTTTAATTAGGATGTTGTCCATTCCCCTTGGAACTGCCATCCACACACCAAGCAGCTCTTTGTTGGTCAGTCAAGAGCTGTAGTCAAGAGCTATAGGGCACTATCCAAGTGTCCATAGAATCCAGCAGCTCCTCACACAGTTCCAGAGTCAGTCCTAGGGGAAAAGATGTTCCCTGCTCTTGAGTGTCTGTTCTTTGAATTCCCTAGGTAGCATGGCCCTGTATAAATCATCTCCATTTTACTATGGAACTCTTCTGGGAACCACTATCCCTAATAGAGTGTTTCCCTGACATCACCAAGACAGCATGCATATTCCAGATTTCAAGATCATGTTATGTCCTTCAGTCACAGGGATAGCTTCAGTTAAAGTTCTATTGCAAGGCTGTAAATGCCCCTCAAGTGGAAATTATCAAAGTCCAAAGTCCTTGTAGTTATCATTGAGAGGCCCTCAAAGGCTTTTGCCGTAAGTCCTAGTAACTGTTCCACAAAGAACTAGCAAATGGAGAATTTGTCCCTACGAGCACTTCAGCTTCTATTATATACTGTGCGGGCTTAGGGTGTCTTACTGGTTCCCATTTAGCATGTTTAATATTGCTCAGAGGGCAGATTTTTATGCCTTCTCTTTTACAATATTAGGTAGAGGGGACATCCCCCAGTCAGATAAAATATCCCATTGCTATTAAAAAGGAGATGCAAATTACTTTACTTACAGCCTGTTTAAATATTCCAAATTTCACTATGCTACCAACTCTTACATTTTTTTTTCTTTTTTTTTTTTTTTGAGACGGAGTCTTGCTCTGTCACCCAGGCTGGAGTGCAGTGGCTTGATCTTGGCTCACTGCAAGCTCCACCTCCCGGGTTCATGCCATTCTCCTGTCTCAGCCTCCCAAGTAGCTGGGACTACAGGCACCTACCACCACACCCTGCTAATTTTTTGTATTTTTAGTAGAGACGGGGTTTCACCGTGTTAGCCAGGGTGGTCTCGATCTCCTGACCTCGTGATCCACCCACCTCAGCCTCCCAAAGTGCTGGGATTACAGGCGTGATCCACCACGCCCGGCCAACCCTTACATTTTTATGTTCAAGTCGCGTGACCTCTTCTCCACCCCCAGACTACCTTCTCTTGGGCAAAAGGCTTTGGGTCCTTAGCAGCAGGTTGAGCCAAATGTCCCTGGCCTTTTTGTCAATCTTTCTGAATTAACCTGCCTCAACATTGCTCCAAGCTATTGTTGGTCAGCTTTCTCATTGTAATCTTTGCCTTCTGACTTTTAAAATTTCCCCAAACTGGGGTAAATACAGCAAACCTGTTTGGAACCCCTTACTGTTGGGGGACCAGCAGAGGCTCCCTTTGGTCCACCCAACCTTCTATAGTGTTGTATTAAGACCTTTGATTTAACCGTATCAATTTCCATTTTATTCATCCTATTTCTTAATAACCATCTAAAGATTTCCACCCTGGAACAAATCTCATGACTCTCCCCTTTCCTTTTTTTCTTTGTTCATCTCATTTCTTAATAACCATTTTAAAATTTCCACCTGCCTGAGATGAACTCTTTGACTTTCCCCTCTGCCTTTCTCCATTCTCTTGTTAATTAACCTACTGTTTTTATTAGCATCTGTAAGACTCATGTGGGGAAGGAAGACAGCAAATTTGACAAGGCTTCTCTGACCACAGCTCAATTTTGCAGCAGTATCCTTACATGTGGTGTCCATGCAAAAGGGGCACCCTTGACCACAACATTTACCATGACCTGGGTAACAGGCATAAACAGCAGGTGAATATCCTGATCACCATAAAGCCACATGGCTTTATGTGGTCCAGGAACTGCTTCTATGGCATTGTATTAGATCATTCTTCCACTTCTACAAAGGAATACCTGAGACTGGGTAGCTCATAAGAGGTTTAATTGTCTTACACTTCAGCAGGCTGCACAGGAAGCATAGTGGCATCTGCTTCTGGGGAGGCCTCAGGAAGCTTCCAATCATGACACAAGGCAAAGGGTGAGCAGGCACTTCACATGATGAAAGCAGGAGCAAGAGAGAAAGGGTGGGGAGTGGTGCCACACAATGGTAAATGACGAGATCTCATGTGAACTCAGGGCCTGCCTCGACATTGCCCCAAGCAATTATATTCTCCCTCTCCCTCTACCTTTCCCTTTCCCTTTTTGAGACGGAGTCTAACTCTGTTGCCCAGGCTGAAGTGCAGTGGTGTAATCTCGGCTTACTGCAACCTCTGCCTCCTGGGTTCAAGTGATTCTCCTGCCTCAGCCTCCCAAGTAGCTGGGATTACAGGCACGCACCACTATGTCCAAATAATTTTTGTATTTTTAGTAGAGACAGGGTTTCACCATGTTGGCCAGGATGGTCTCGATCCCCTCACCTTGTGATCTGCCCACCTCGACCTCCCAAAGTGCTGGGATTACAGGTGTGAGCCACCACACCTGGCTGAGTTTAGATTTTTATTATCAGAATTGGGTCAGAACCATGAAAAGCATGTAGAGCAAGGGTAATCTGAAGCAAAAGACTATGATAGACAAATATATTAAACTCTATATTTAATTTGTACTTAACATTGTACACTTAACATTTCTTCCTCACTGCTGTCAATTATTTGTGTGTGTGTCATTCTATGCTACAAGTGTCCAACTAGTGTTTAAACTACATGATGACAAGAACTGTTATTTCTCTGCTATTAGGTTTATTGCGTTGCCTTTTTGCCCAGAGTAAGCATGCAATAAATATGTTTAATTGAATAATTTGAGTGAGGCCTTTCTTAATTTTTTTAAATAAATAATCCAGTAGAATTATAAAGCTCGGCCAGACGGACACCTATTAGGCTTTTATGATGGTCAAACAATATAATGCATATATATGCTGCTGCTTATTATTCATCCCAAACGTGTAAATTCAAGTTACTTCAAACTTAAGATTGTGGAAATTTCAAACACCAGCCATAAATCTGAAGCTCCATTCCTTGACAACTCTTTGGCCTTCAGGACCTGTTGAGACTCTCAACAATATGCTATGGGTCTGAGATTTGATAGGGCTTCTCCATACTAGTTTGAAAACCTGAGTCACAGGCCGGGGGTGGTGGTTCAAGCCTGTAATCCCAGCACTTTGGGAGGCTGAGATGGGCAGATCACGAGGTCAGGAGATCAAGACCATCCTGGCTAACATGTTGAAACCCGATCTCTACTAAAAATACAAAAAAATTAGCTGGGCGTGGTGGTGGCCACCTGTAGTCACAGCTACTCAGGAGGCTGAGGCAGGAGAATGGCGTGAACCTGGGAGGCGGAGCTTGCAGTGAGCCGAGATCGAGCCACTGCATTCCAGCCCGGGCAACAGAGCAAGACTCAAAAAAAAAAAAAGAACCTGAGTCACCTCGTGCTACAGCTAGCCCATTGCAAGCCATTTCGGTCTGTTTCTTCCCTTCATTCATTCTTTTGTTCTCCTTTGTGCATATCTGGGCTTCCCACCTGGAATTTATGATTCTCTGGGCCCAAAGATCATGAACTGTCATCACTGTATTCCTCTGTTTCAGTTATCTATCACTGTGTAACAATTTTATCCCCAAATTTAGTGGCTTCAGACAAAAATCATTTGTCTCTGTAAGTCAGGAATTTGGGAAGGGCTTGGTGGAGCAGCTCTGGCTTACAGTCTAGGATGTGGCTGTAGTCAGATGGTGGCTGGAGCTATGACAATGGGAATGAGGACTGGAGTAGCTGGGGTCTGGCTTGGTATCTATCAACAATCTTCATGTGGTCTCAGGACTGCTCTTAAATAGTCTCTCCACATGGGTTAGTTTGGACTTCGGTTCAGCATCATAGCCTTAGGGCATTAAAACTGCATATATGGCAGCTCAGAGTTTCAAGAGACAATTCCAGTGAGCAAGGTAGAAGCTGTATGGCCTGTGATGACAGCCTCAAAAATGTTACTGTATTACTTTCACCATACTCTGTTGGTCACAAAAGCCCACCCAATTTCAAAAAGGAGGAAATATAGATCACACCTCCCGATGGTAGTGTTGAAGGTACATTTTAAGGGCATGTGGGATGGGAGTCAATTTGGAAAATATCACCTGCCACACCATCAGACTTTTTGACATGATGCTTTGCAAAAGGCAGGTGCTCAGTAAATGTTTGTCAAATGAATATAATAAAAGCAATTTGTCTAAAAATGTTGTATAAGTAGAAGACCAACCCAACAAATTTTAAAAGTAGTTAAAATGTAATAGTAGTTTTAAAAGACTTTGCTATAGTCTCTGGTCTATCCCCTACTCTATAAAACAGGCACTCATGCAATTTTAAAAAACATTAGGAGAAATATGTCACTAATTGTGATCTGCCCTATTAACAACTGTCTCTCTAGGCTGGCTTTCAATAGTGTCATTTGCATTATTTGTGTAGGAGTCTGTGTCCTTTTTTGCTTGCTCTATTTGTTGTAGATGTTGAGAATAAGCTTATCTCTATCCTTAAGGCTGCCCCACATCTCCAAACATGTTCCAAGGTCTCACAGACCATGCTAATAGACAGCTCACATGTGTTAATTGTAGCTTTCATCAGCTCTGGAAATAAGGAGAATCAGACTTCTACAGAGATAGAAAAGTGACTTGTCACCCCAGGGCAATTCCATTTTGGGATAGAGATAGACAGCAGTGGTGTTTATTCAACCAGTTGGAAGAAAACACTCAAAGATATATCATTAATAAAAACAGAATAGAATCACTGTTTTGTTTTGTTTTGTTTTGTTTTCCAACAGAAGAGTCTTGGAGATTCTCAGCAAACAATCTCAGTTAAGAAAGAGGAAATGAAGTTATTTATGTGACTGAATTTGCATAGCAGGTTAGTGCTATTCTGTTTAATGTTGTCTGCAAGTTCTTCTAATGGGTAAAACAACTTAAGGCAAAAAAAAAAAATACTTGAAAAATATCAAGGAAAGGCTAAGTATGGTGGTTCATGCATGTAATCCCAGTGCTTTGGGAGGTCAAGGTGGGAGGACCACTTGAGACCAGGAGGTCGATGCTGTAGTAAGCTATGATCATGCCACTGCACTCCAGCCTGGGCAACAGAGTGAGATCCTATCTCAAAAAAAAAAAAAAAAAAAAAAAAAAAACCAAGAAAGAAAATTGAAAACGATGTCAAATTTTCTTCAACTAGATTTCTTTCAGCTAGATCATGATGGTATTCTAAGCCCCCATCTCAAAAGGGCTCTATAGAAGTAAGCATTATAAAAGAAAAGGGTTCTATGAACTATGCTGAGTTAAAAAAATATTAACAAGTGTTTTTACTGTGAAACTGCTCGGTGCCTTTAATAAGCTAACATTTACTGTGACTATTTAAAGAAGGATAGTCAATGAAGTATTTCTCAGTTACACCCTTTTGTTCAAAAGCATTTCTCAGGTCTGATATATTACAGAAATTGTTCTGAGAAATACTGAAATCTCACCCCCAGAAATCTATCACATATGAAGATCTCAGTTTTAGGGGAGTGCCACAGCCATAATACAGTCCAAGAGCTATGTGGGGAACTCACAGGGCCCAAAAAGGTTGCTCAAGCAGCCCTTAGTCCACATCCCTTTCAAATGATATTTTACTGTTTTTTCTTTTATATATAACAAATGGGATAGTCTATTCAATATGTGAAAGGAGATAGCGTATCTTGAATTAGATGAAAGTTTTTTTTAAAACATATATGTATTCTAGAGTTTAGTGTTGTAGTCATTGGATAATTGTTAAGAAGCCATTTAGAGAAATTCTGGCCATGGAGTTAAAATTCCTCCTGCGTTTTCTGAGTTGTAGGGTATATTAACTGTACTCAAAATCCATGAGGACTAAACTCTGATTTTTTTTTATCTCACCCAAATTCCTATCTAAGGGATCTGGGGAGTCATGCCCTAAAAATAATACATTCTCATCAGATGGGTTTTATTTAAGCCTACAGATCGTGATTTGCTTTCCAACCTGACTCTGGTATAACATTATGAGACAAAGAAGAAAATCAACATATTTTACCCCAAAATATGTTTCTTTGTCATATTTTGAAATGGCCCTGCAAAGCTGTTCTTTGTGGGGGAAAATGTTCATCTGTAAAGAATCTCTATTAACATAGCTAGATCTTTTTCTTTCAGACCCTCCCAATCCTAAAGAGATTACCTAAAATCTGAATAGGAAACATTTGTTATCCTATTGTCTCTAAGGGCAGCCACTATAAGACTTCAAAAGAACTTTGGTCTCCACAATCTTTATCTTAACCTGAATATTTCCCTTCTGTCATCCCAGGTCTTTAGACAAACTCAACCAATTGTCAACCAGAAAATGTTTAAATTCACCTATAGCCTGGAAGCCCCCTGGCTTTGAGTTGTTCCACTTTTCTGGACCAAACCAATGTATTTCTTAAGTGTATTTGACTGATGTTTCATGCCTGTCTAAAATGTATAAAACAAAGCTGAGCCCTGACCACCTTGGGCACAGGACCTCCTAAGGGCTGTGTCACAGACCATGGTCATTTATATTTGGCTCAGAATAAATCTCCAATATTTTAGAGTTCAACTCTTTGTCGACATCCAAAACAGCCAAACTTTTAGCAATAAAAGATTTAACATTCAAAAGTGACCACGAAGTTCTGCATGTAGAAACTTACCACTTCGCTGTAACACAAATTTGAACTTCAAAGGCTGTGAGGCTATGGGCATGGACAGATCACTTAACTAGAGGGTGAGCCTAGTCCAACATCAGGTACCTGTAACTCAACAGACTTTTTAGTATTATTAATTTTACATATGAATGTTAGGCATTTTACAAGGATAGATAAATCAGCTATTATGATTGCATTCAGCAGTAAGTAGCAGAAAACCTTTATAACCGTGGATTAGTTAAGTAAATGATTATTTTTGTTCACATAACAAGAAGTTTGGAGATAACAGCTCAGTGCCAGTGTAGTAGCTTAAGGATTCTGCCGGGGAATCTCATTTCTTCTCTTGTCTGTCTCCAATACCCTTGAGAAGTAGATTTTCCGTATAGTCACATGATAGCTACTGCACCCTCAGATTGTAATTGCATTCCAAGCAGGTAAAAGGAAAAAGAGCAAGGAGTGAAGAGCAAAGGCATATGCCGTTGAAGTTTACTTCTCTTTAAGTCAGGAAATCAGTATTTTTCTTAAAAGCCCTATCATAGATTTCATCTTTCATCTCATTGGTGAGTATTTTATCACATAACCACTGCTGTCTATAAAGTACCTTAGAAAATGATTTTTTAAAAAAACCTGGGTACATTGCTGCCACCAAAAATATTGGTATGCAGTAGAGTTTCATTGTAGTCTGATGGAAGATTGTGACTGTTCAGACCTTTCTTCAATATTCACAGCAACTCTCATGTGTTCATTATATCCATGAGACACTTGACAGTTTGCAAAACACCTCCATCCACATCCTCTCACCTGATCCTAATTAGATATTCTCACTTGAGTCTACGTTTTTTGTTGTGTCATCGATCAGAACCCTTCCAATAATGTGTGTTTCTGTACTTACAAAGATGCGGTTTTCATTGTGTTTACCTGATAATTCTGAAGTAGATTTTTAGGACATCTTTCTAGTGCTTCCATGAGTTCAAATAATCAGCTCGTAATCATTTACAAGGTGCCCCACTAGTTGGTGCTATGCTAGGGACCATATTGAGATTTTAAAAAGAAAAGGAATAAAAGATAGCATTTCTGACCCACCCCACCCCCGGCCCCCATTCTTCTATTGTCATCTCACCACTCATGGATGTAAGGACTAAGCTCTGATTATTTTATCTTGACCAAATTCCTATCTAAAGGGTCTGAGGTGTCATGTCCTACAAACCATAAATTCTCATCAGATGGGTTTTACTTAACCTTATATATTGTGACTTACTTTCCAATCTGACCCTGACATAACATTATGTGACAAGAAAGTAAAAATATTTTACCCCCAAAACATGTTTCTTTGCCATATTTTGAAAGGACCCTGCAAAGCTGTTCTTGGTGGGGAAAAAATTACATCTGTAACTAATCTTGGGGGTTCTGATGGCAAGATGGCCGAATAGGAACAGCTTTGGTCTTCAGCTACCAGAGAGATTGATGCAGAAGGTGGGTGATTTCTGCATTTCCAACTGAGATACCTGGTTTATCTCACTGGAACTGGTTGGACAGTGGGTGCAGCCCACAGAGGGTGAGCTGAAGCAGGGTCGGGGGTTGCCTCACCTGGGAAGCACAGGGGGTCGAGGGATTCCCCTCCCCCAGCCAAGGGACGCCATGAGAGACTGTACCGGGAGGAACGGTGCACTCTGGCCCAGATACTGCGCTTTTCCCAGTCTTCGCAGCCAGCAGACCAGGAGATTCCCTCTGGTGCCTAGGCCACCAGGGCCCTGGGTTTCAAGCACAAAACTGGGTAGCCATTTGGGCAGACACAGAACTAGCTGAAGGCTTAGTTTGTATTTTTTTTTCATACCCCAGTGGCACCTGGAATGCCAGTGAGACAGAATCCTTCACTCCCTGGAAAGGGGACTAAAGCCAGGGAGCCAAGTGGTTTGGCTCAGCGGATCCCATTCCCACAGAGCCCAGCAAGCTAAGATCCACTGGCTTGAAATTCTCGCTGCTAGCATAGCAGTCTGAGGTCAACCTGGGATGCTCAAGCTTGGTGGAGGGAGGGTTGTCCACCATTGCTGAGGCGTGAGTAGGTGGTTTTATCCTCACAGTGTAAACAAAGCCACCAGGAAGTTCAAACTGGGAGGAGTCTACCACAGCTCAGCAAGGCCACTGCAGCCAGACTGTCTCTCTAGATTCCTCCTCTCTGGGCAGGGCATCTCTGAAAAAAAGGTAGCAGCCCCATTCAGGGACTTACAGATAAAAACCCCCATCTCCCTGGGACAGAGCACCTGGGGGAAAGGGCAGCTGTGGGCATAGCTTCAGCAGACTTAAATGACCCTGCCTGACAGCTCCAAAGAGAGCAACAGATCTCCCAGCACAGCATTTGAGCTCTGATAAGGGAGAGACTGTCTCCTCAAGTAGGTCCCTGACCCCCATGTATCTTCACTGGGAGAAACCTCCCAGTAGAGGCTGACAGACACCTCATACAGGAGAGCTCTGGCTGGCATCTGGCAGGTGCCCCTCTGGGACAAAGCTTCCCAAGGAAGGAACAGGCAGCAGTCTTTGCTGTTCTGCAGCCTCTGCTTGTGATACCCAGGAAAACAGGGTCTGGAGTGGACCTCCAGCAAACTCCAGCAGACCTGCAGCAGAGGGGCTTGACTGTTATAAGGAAAACTAATAAACAGAAAGGAATAGTATCAACATCAACAAAAAGGACATCTGCTCAGAGACCCCAACCAAAGGGGTCACCAACATCAAAGCTCAAAGGTAGATAAATCCACGAAGATGGGGAGAAACCATAGCAAAAAGCCTGAAAATTCCAAAAACCAGAACACCTCTTCTCTTCTGAAGGATCACAACTCCTCACCAGCAAGAGAACAAAACTGGACGGAGAATGAGTTTGAGAAATTAACAGAAGTAGGCTTCAGAAGGTGGGTAATAACAAACTCCTCCAAGCTAAAGGAGCATGCTCTAACCCAATGCAAGGAAGCAAAGAACCTTGAAAAAGGGTTAGATGAATTGCTAACTAGAATAACCAGTTTAGAGAACAACATAAATCACCTGATGGAGCTGAAAACCACAGCATGAGAACTTTGTGAAGCATAACACAAGCATCAATAGCCAAATCGATCAAGTGAAAAAAAGGATATCAGAGATTGAAGATCGACTCAGTGAAATAAAGCGAGAAGAAAAGATTAGAGAAAAAAGAGTGAAAAAAAATGATCAAAGCCTCCAAGAAATATGGGACTATGTGAAAAGACCAAATCTACGTTTGATTAGTGTACCTGAAAGTGATGGGAAGAATGGAACCAACTTGGAAAACACTCTTCAGGATAACATCCAGGAGAACGTCCCCAACCTAGTAAGACAGGCCAACATTCAAATTCAGGAAATACAGAAAACACCACAAAGATACTCCTTGAGAATAGCAACCCCAAGACACGCAATCATCAGATTCACCAAGGTTGAAATGAAGGAAAAAATGTTAAGGGGAGCCAGAGAGAAAGGTCAGGTTACCCACAAAGAGAAGCCCATCAGACTAACAATGGACCTCTCAGCAGAAACCATACAAGCCAGAAGAGAGTGGGGGCCAATATTCAACATTCTTAAAGAAAAGTATTTTCAACCCAGAATTTCATATCCAGCCAAACTAAGCTTCATAAGCAAAGGAGAAATAAAATCATTTATAGATAAGCAAATGCTGAGAGATTATGTCACCACTAGGCCTGACTTACAAGAGCTCCTGAAGGAAGCACTAAACATGGAAAGGAACAACCGGTACCAGCCACTGCAAAAACAAACCAAATTGAAAAGACCATTGACACTATGAAGAAACTGCATCAACTAACGGGCAAAATAACCAGCTAGCATCATAATGACAGGATCAAATTCACACATAACAATATTAACCTTAAATGTGAATGGGCTAAATGGCCCCAATTAAAAGACACAGACTAGAAAATTGGACAAAGAGTCAAGACCCATCAGTGTGCCATATTCAGGAGACCCATCTCATGTGCAAAGACACACATAGGCTCAAAATAAAGGGATGGAGGAATATTTACCAAGCAAATGGAAAACAATAAAAAAGCAGAGGTTGCAATCCTAGTCTCTGATAAAACAGACTTTAAATGAACAAAGATCAAAAGAGGCAAAGAAGGGCATTACATAATGGTAAAGGGATCAATGCAACAAGAAGAGCTAACTATCCTAAATATATATGTACCCAATACAGGAGCACCCAGATTCATAAAGCAAGTTCTTAGAGGCCTAAAAAGAGAGTAAGACCACCACACAATAATAGTGGGAGACTTTAACACCCCACTATAAATATTAAACAGATCAATGAGTCAGGAAATTAACAAGGATATCCAGGACTTGACTTCAGCTCTGGACCAAGTGAACTTAAGGTGGAGACATCTACAGAACTCTCCACCCCAAATCAACAGAACATACATTCTTCTCAGCACCACATCAAACTTATTCTAAAATTGACCACATAATTGGAAGTAAAACACTCCTCAGCAAAAGCAAGAGAATGGAAATCATAACAGTCTCTCAGACCACACTGCCATCAAATTAGAACTCAGAATTAAGAAACTCACTCAAAACTGCACAACTGGATGGAAACTGAACAACCTGCTCCTGAAAGACTACTGGGTAAATAATGAAATTAAGGCAGAAATAAAGATGTTCTTTGAAACCAATGAGAACAAAGACACAATACACCAGAATTTCTGGGACACATTTAAAGCAGCGTGTAGAGGGAAATTTGTAGCACTAAATGCCCACAAGAGAAAGCAGGACAGATCTAAAATCAACACCCTAACATCACAATTAAAAGAACTACAGAAACAAGAGCAAACAAATTCAAAAGCTAGCAGAAGACAAGAAATAACTAAGATCAGAGCATAGCTGAAGGAGATAGAGACATGAAAAACCCTTCAAAAATCAATGAATCCAGGAGCTGGTTTTTTGAAAATATCGACAAAATAGATAGACTGCTAGCCATACTAATAAAGAAGAAAAGAGAGAAGAATCAAATAGATGCAATAAAAAATGACAAAGGGGATATCACCACTGATCCTACAGAAATGCAAACTATCATCAGAGAATACTATAACCACCTCTATGCAAATAAACGAGAAAATCCACAAGAATTGGATAAATTCCTGGACACACACCCTCCCAAGACTAAACCAGGAAGAAGTCAAATCCCTGAATAGATCAATAACAATTGCTGAAATTGAGACAGCAATTAATAGCCTACCAATCAAAAAAAGTCCAGGACCAGACGGATTCACAGCCGAATTCTACCAGAGGTACAAAGAGGAGCTGGGACCATTCCTTCTGAAACTAAGAGGGAATCCTCCCTAACTCATTTTATGAGGCCAATATTATCCTGATACCAAAACCTGGCAGAGAAACCACAAAAAAAGAAAATTTCAGGCCAATATCCCTGTTGAACATCGATGCAAAAATCCTCAATAAAATACTGGCAAACCGAATCCAGCAGCACATCAAAAAGCTTATCCACTGCAATCAAGTTGGCTTCATCCCTGGGATGAAAGGCTGGTTCGACATAAGCAAATCAACAAACATAATCCATCACATAAACAGAACCAATGACAAAAACCACATGATTATCTCAATAGATGCAGAAAAGACCTTTGACAAAATTCAACAGCACTTCATGCTAAAAACTTTCAATAAACTAGATATTGATGGAACGTATCTCAAAATAATAAGAGCTATTTATGACAAACCCACAGCCAATATCATACTGAATGGGCAAAAACTGGAAGCATTCCCTTTGAAAACTGGCACAAGACAAGGATGACCTCTCTCACCACTCCTATTCAACATAGTATGGAAGTTCTGGCCAGGGCAATCAAGCTAGAGAAAGAAAGAAAGGGTACTCAATTAAGAAAAGAGGAAGTCAAATTGTCTCTTTGCAGATGACATGATTGTGTATTTAGAAAACCGTATAGTCTCAGCCCCAAATCTCCTTAAGATGATAAGCAATTTCAGAAAAGTCTCAGGATATAAAATCAATGTGCAAAAATCACAAGCATTCCTATATACCAATAACAGACAAACAGCCAAAACAAACAGAATAAAATACCTAGGAGTACAACTTACAAAGGATGTGAAGGACCTCTTCAAGGAGAACTACAAACCACTGCTCAAGGAAATAAGATAGGACACAAACAAATGGAAAAGCATTCCATGGTCACAGATAGGAAGAATCAATATTGTGAAAATGTCCATGCTGCCCAAAGTAATTTATAGATTCAATGCTATCCCCATCAAGCTACCATTGACTTTCTTCACTAAATTGGAAGAAACTACTTTAAGTTTCATATGGAACCAAAAAAGAGCCCACGTAGCCAAGACAATCCTAAGCAAAAAGAACATAGCTGGAGGCATCACGCTACCTGATTTCAAACTATACTACAAGGCTACAGTAACAAAAACAGCATGGTACTGGCACCAAAACAGATATATAGACCAATGGAACAGAACAGAGGCCTCAGAAATCACATCACACATCTACAACCATCTGATCTTTGACAAACCTGACAAAAACAAGCAATGGGGAAAGGATTCCCTATCTAATAAATGGTGTTGGGAAAACTGGCTAGCCATATGCAGAAAGCTGAAACTAGACCTCTTCCTTACACCTTATACAAAAATTAACTCAAGATGGAATAAAGACTTAAACATAAGACCTACAACCATAAAAACCCTAGAAGAAAACCTGGGCAGTACTATTCAAGACATAGGCATGGGCAAAGACTTCATGACTAAAACACCAAAAGCAATGGCAACAAAAGCCAAAATAGACAAATGGGATCTGATTAAACTAAAGAGCTTCTGCACAGCAAAAGAAACTATCATCAGAGTGAACAGGCAACCTACAGAATGGGAGAAAATTTTTGCAATCTATCCATCTGACAAACGGCTAATATCCAGAATCTACAAAGAACTTAAACAAATTTACAAGAAAAAACCCCATCAAAAAGTGGGTGAAGGATATGAACAGACACATCTCAAAAGAAGACATTTATGTGGCCAAGAAACATAGGGAAAAAAGCTCATCATCTCTGGTCATTAGAGAAATGCAACTCAAAACCACAATGGGATGCCATCTCATGCCAGTTAGAATGGTGATTATTAAAAAGTCAGGAAACAACAGATGCCGGAGAGGATGTGGAGAAATAGGAACACTTTTACACTGTTGGTGGGAGTGTAAATTAGTTCAACCATTGTGGAAGACAGTGTGGTGATTCCTCAAGGATCTAGAACCAGAGAAATACTTACCATTTGACCCAGCAATCCCATTACTGGGTATATACACAAATGATTATAAATCATTCTACTATAAAGGCACATGCACACATATGTTTATTTTGGAAGCACTGTTCACAATAGCAAAGACTTAGAATCAACTCAAATGCTCATCAATGATAGAGTGCATAAAGGAAATGTGGCACATATATACCAAGGAATATTATACAGCCATAAAAAGGGATGAGTTCATGTCCTTTGCAGGGACATGGATGAAACTGGAAACCATCATTCTCAGCAAACTAACACAAGAACAGAAAACCAAACACCACTTGTTCTCACTCATAAGTGGGAGTTGAACAATGAGAACACATGGACACAGGGGTTGGGGGCATCATACAATGAGGCCAGTCAGGGGGTCGGGGGCTGGGGGAGGGATATCATTAGGAGAAATACCTAATGTACATGATGGGTTGATGGGTGCAGCAAACCACCATGGCACGTGTATACCTATGTAACAAATCTGCACATTCTGCACATGTACCCCAGAACTTAAAGTATAATAAAAAATTAAAAGGGATGGAGGGAGCAAGTCTGTCCCTTTTTCCCTCCGCCATATGAAGATGCAGCAAGAAGGCAACATCTTGGAATCAGACAGCCAACCTTCACCAGGCACTAAACCTGCTGGCATCTGGATCTTGGACTTCCCAGCCTTCAGAATTGTGAGGAATAAATTTCTACTATTTATAAAGTATTCAGTCCAAAGGATATTGTTATAGCAGCCTGAATGGACTAAGACAGATGTGTAGTACCTAATGTGTAAATAATAAAATATACATGAAAAAAAAAGAATCTCTGTTAACATAGCTAGATCTTTTTCTTCCAGGCTCTCCCAATCCTAAAGAGATTAAGAGTCTAGTACATTTTAAAGGTCTGAATAGGAAACACTTGTCATCTATAAGACTATTAGACTTCAAAAGATCCTTAGTCTCCACAATCTTTTATCTTAACTTGAACATTTCCTTTCTATCAATCCCAGGTCTTTAGACAGACTCATCCAATTGTAAACCTAAAATTGTTTAAATTTACCTATTGCCTGGAAGCCCCACCACCACTGCGCCACCACCATACTTTGAGTTGTCCCAACTTTCTGGATCAAACCAATTCATTTCTTAAATATATTTGATGTCTCATGCCTCCCTAAAATGTATAAAACCAAGTTGCACCACAACTGCCTTGGGCACATGTTCTCAGGACCTCCTGAGAGGTTTGTGTCATGGGGCCATGGTCACTCATATTTGGCTCAGAATAAATCTCTTCAAATATTTTACAGAATTTGACTCTTTTTGTCAAAGGTGTTTTTTCTGCTTTTACTGGCTTGCTGCTTTTTCCATTCCTTTTACATCAAAGGGAGATAAGAGCATGGGGAATCATGGAAGTAATGTGAATTCTAGATGTAACTCACCACTGCATTACTGTGGGCATGAACTTGGGAAAATCACACAGAAAATTCCTAGGCCTGTGTACTAATTATCTATCATTGTCTAACACAAATACCCCAAAACTTAGTGGCTTAAAACAACAAACATTTATTATCTCACAGTTTCTGTGGGTCAAGAATCAGAGTGAAACTTAGCTGGGTGTCTCTGGCTCAAGGTCTTTCTGTAGGTTACAGTCAGGTTATTAGCCAGGGATGTGGTCTCATCTGAAGGCTTGACTGAGGGAAGATCTGCTTCTGAACTCCCTAATCTTGTTGATGCAAAATTCAGTTCCTTGTGATATGTTGGTCTGAGGGTCTCAGTTCTTTATTGGCTCCCCTCACTCAGTTCTCTGCCTGGTGGCCCTCTCCATGGAGCCACTCACAATATGGGAACTTGCTTCCCCCAGAACAAAGGCTCTGCAAGAAACAGTGAGGCAGAGTGACCAAAATAATCAAAATCTATCTGTAATTTAATCTTGGATGTAGTATCCATCATATTTGTCATGTTTCATTTGTTTTAAGGCAGTCACTAGATCTAGCTTACACTCAAGGGGAAGAAATTTTACAAAAGTATGAATACCAGGAGGCAAGGATGATGGGGGTGGTGGTGCATGTTAGAAGCTGGTCCCTTTGGTTTCAATCCCCTTTATATAAGAATCCTACTGGCTTTGAAGCCCATAATTTTATGGTTCTAAGAACATACTTCAAGTCAGCCCTGGACTGTGCTTTAAGTGTCATGAAGTCAGGGGATTTTTGTTTGTTTGTTGTTTGTTTTTTACCCCTACATCCTCAGCACCACCACAGGGCCTGGCCTATAGTGAGTGTTTATGTATTTCATTCATTCAACATTTATTGCTCATGCGCCATGCCTTATACTAGATGCTAGA
This sequence comes from Homo sapiens, assembly GCF_000001405.40. Lineage (NCBI taxonomy): Eukaryota > Metazoa > Chordata > Mammalia > Primates > Hominidae > Homo > Homo sapiens. The sequence goes on along the minus strand of NC_000012.12, from coordinate 67,862,120 downwards.
GATGTAGTTGTGACCAAGATAGATGTAAGTTCTCAATATCATGGAACTTACATTCGAGGAGGGGAAGACAGACAATAAACAAGTAACCCAGTAAATGAACAAGATACCATTACACAGAAAGAGATAAATAATGTGTCAAACTTGAAACAATTACAAATTATATTATAAACATCATTTAAATGATGTCACTCTATGAGGAGCTATATATACATCAGTAAGAAAAAAATTGAACATCCCAGAAAATCTGTTTGCAATAAAACTCTAAGAGAAAAAAATATGGGTTAAATATCACTAGTTATCTAAGATCTGAAGATTAAAACACAACTTATTAATTATTCTCTTTAAATTGCTGTTGTTGTTTTTGGCAATAAGAGTCAATGTTTTCCAGGGAAACTGGGCTTTCTTACAGACTCTTGGAGGAAGTGCATGTTGGTTTTACTTTTGTGGAGGGCTCTATGACAAGATATGTCCAAACCCTAAAATGAATGCATTTTGAGTTGTTTTTTTTTTTTAATCAGTAAAATTAAAAGCTAAGAGTATAGGCTGTGGGATCAGCCTAGCGGGGGAGATGAGGGTGCAGGGCGGGTCAGCCAGGGCTTCCTAGCGGGGAATAATTTCTGAGCTGAGTAGAAGTTAACATGGCCATGTGGGTTCTAGGATGGGAAGTGCTTACAGACAAAAGTGAAAAAGTAGTTTCATTCAGGACACAGAATCAGGTGTTCCAAGGTGCAGAGTGTAAGAAATGTGAGAAAGCATGAGATTCAGCCAGAGGGAGGAGTCCAGATGATTCCCATATTTCTCTCTTGGGCAGCTGGTGGACGACAAAGTCATCACCAAGAGAGTAAAACAGGAAAAATTCCTGCATTGCATAGGAAAATCAGGGGTTTCCAAGCCCTATTGATGATGGCCCACCTAGGTGAAGTAAAATAGCTGGAGACCCATCTCTCCTACCTATTCTTCAATCAAAACCTCAGAGATTTGCAAAGTCCTGATAACTTTCATTTTTAAAAGTATATTTAAAAATGAGTTAATGCCAAAATGGGGCTATGAAAATGTTGTTGGTACTTTTTAGATGTTACCATTTAACAAATTAAAACTGGCCAGGTGTGGTGGCTCACACCTCTAATCCCAGCACTTTGGGAGGCTGAGGTGGGCAGATCACCTGAGGTTGTGAGTTCAAGACCAGCCTGACCAACATGGAGAAACTCCGTCTCTACTAAAAATACAAAAGTTGCCGGGCGTGGTGGCTCATGCCTGTAATCCCAGCTACTTGGGAGGCTGAGGCAGGAGAATTGCTTGAACCCAGGAGGCGGAGGTTGCAGTGAGCTGAGATCATGCCATTGCACTCCAGCCTGGACAACAAGAATGAAACTCCGTCTCAAAAAAAAAAAAAAATTAAAACTTTCAGAGTGCACACATGTGTGCACAAACATTGCAGTGGCTGTGTATAACCTCATTTGAAGGTAACACCAAAGTCTAAACCTGAGGTCATTCATAACCGTGAGGCCCCAGTAAATGGCTTCTCTGCCTGTCTCCTCCATCAGGATCCAGGTTCTGTTCTCAAGGACAAGGGTGCCTTCATTTCCATTTCACAGAATAGTGTTTCTCTGATATAATTAAGTCCAGAGCAGCAGTTCCTTTTTGGTCTTCCTCCCCCTCCCATACATATTCAGAGATATGCAATTATCATCAGGTAAAAAAATATATCTGATGTCTTTTAAGGGAATGAAATTTAGAGTAGATGCCTAGTAGCCAAAGTCTGTTATTTTACTGTATCTTTTCCCTGTGACAGCAATCTTTTAGGAGAACACAAATTGCATTCCTTGAAGACTTTTGGAGATGACCTTGAAAAAAAATTTCTGTTCATTGGTTTATTTATTTTTAATTGGTTTTAATCTAACTACACCTGTAGTTATCTTTGTGGAAAGTTTTAGAATTAAACATTTAATTTATCTTAATAGTGCTGTGGTTTGAATGTGTCCCTGAAATTAATACATGAAATGTAATCACCAGTGTGACAGTATTAAGAGGTGAGGCCTTTAAGAGGTAATTAAGTCATGAGGGTAGAGGCCTCATGAATAGGATTAGGGCCCTATGAAAAGGGCTTGAGGGAATGGGTTTGCTCTCTTACCCTTCCGCCACATGAAAACACAGCATTCCTCCCTCCATAGGATGCAGCGACAAGGTGCTATCTTGGAAGCAGAGAGCAGCTCTTGCTGGTGCTTTGATCTTGGACTTCCCAGCCTCCAGAACTGTGGGAAATGTCTATTATTTATAAATTATCCAGTCTGTAGCATTTCATTAAAGGAGAACAAAAGAATTAAGACAAATAGTAATAGAAGCTCACAGATTTTCTATTTATTTTTGTGTTGTTTCAGTTTTGGTAAGTTGTATGTTTATACAAATATGTCCATTTCATCTAAATGTTCAACTTTTTTGCATAATATTTTTATAATATCCTTATTACCTTTTAATCAACTGCCAGTTTTATAGCAATATTTGATTTTTCCTTCTTGGTGTCAATACTTGTACTATTGCTCATTTTCCTTACCAAAGAAGAAACTTCTTGCCTTACTGTCATTTTTAATATGCGTTTATTTTCAGTTTATTTAATTTGCCCTTATCCTACTTTCCTCAAATTTATATTGCTATTCTTTTTTGTAATTACTTAAGATGGACGGTTAGCTCACTTCTTGTGGGGTTTTCTTAAAAAAAAAGTGCATTTTAGGCTATGTAGTTTTCATGAATTACTGCTTTGACTGCATTCCACGAATTTTAGTATGTAGCCAGGCATGATGGCATGCACCTGTAATCTCAGCTACTCCTCCTAAGTAAGGAGGCTGAAGTGGGAGGATTGCTTGAGCCCAGGAATTTGAGGCTGCAGTAAGTTATGATCGTGCTACTGCACTCCAGCTTGGGTGACACAGCATGACTCCATCTCCAAAATAAACAAACAAATAAATAAATTTACTATGTAATTTTGTTATTTGGTTGAAAATACTTTCTAATTTTTATTATAACTTATTTAACTAATAAGCTATTGATAAACTTCTTAATTTCTAAGCACATACAGATTTTATACTTTGTTATTAATTTTTCAGCATAACTACATTGTAGTCAGAGAACTAACTTTATATAATTTCAGTCTTCTGATATCAAATATGTAATAAATTTTGTCAGTCATCTGTATGTTTGTAAAAAGAATGTGTCCCACAGTTGTTAAGAGCAGTGTTTTCAAAACATCCAATAGGTTGTTTGCTAATGGTGCTTTCAAATTTTCTGTATTTCACTAATTTTCATCTGCTTGTTATATATATTATAGAAAAAGGTATTTAAAAATTTCTTACTGTGATTGGGAATTTGCCTAGTTTTCCTGATACTTGTGTGCTTTGTGAACTTTTTTTTTTTTTTTTGAGTCAGGGTCTCACTCTGTTGCCCAGGCTGGACTGCAGTGGTACCATCTTGGCTCACTGCAGCCTTGACCTCCTGGGGCTCCCACCTTAGCCCTTAGCCTCCCAAGTATCTGGGACCACAGGTGTGTGCCACCACACCTGGCTAATTTTGTGTATTTTTAGTAGAGATGGGGTTTTGCCATGTTGCCCAGACTGGTCTTGAACACCTGGACTCAAGCAATCTGCCTGCCTTAGCCTCCCAAAGTACTGGGATTATAGGCATGAGCCACCGTTCCCTTGTGTACATTTTATTATTATTAAGTGTATAGCAATAGGAAATTCTCACATCTTTCTGGTGAATTGAACATTTAACCATTATGAAGTGACTGACTTTTCTCTAGTAATCTGCCTTACACAATATTGTTACACCAGCTTTCTTTTAACTAATGCTTGCATGGTAGATCTTTTTCCTTCCATTACTTTCAGTTTTTTGATATCCTCATGTTTTAGATCGATCTCTTGCAAGTTACCTACAGTTGAGTATTAGGTTATTTTTAATATATTCTGAGAATCTATTTTTTCCTTTAACTGGAATATTTAGTCTATTTACATTTAATATAATTACTAATTATTTGGTTTCAGATTATGCAATTTCTAGTTTTGCTAACTATTCCATATTCTTTTCCTTCATCTTTTTTGCCTTCTTATGGATTGATTAGTTTTTAGGATTTCATTTTTGCTTCCCACTTATACGCAATATATAATATTCTCTCTTTACATATTATTTTACAAATGCTGCAAGACATTATTTTTGTTGTATATAGTTAACTTTCATTTTGATTTACCCACATATTTATAACTTTTTTTTGTCCTTCAGTCCTTCTTGCATCTCTAAACTTTCATTTGGCATAATTTTCCTTCTGCCCAAAATATACCTTTAAAATGTCCTTTAGTGTATATTGGTTTATTGTAAAATCTCTCAGTTTCTGTTTTTCTGAAAATATGTTTCATTTCACCTTCTTTCTTGTAGAATATTTTCAAGGGATAAAAGGTCTAAGTCGTGGCTGGGCGCGGTGGCTCATGCCTATAATCCCAGCACTTTGGGAGGCTGAGGCTGGCGGATCATGAGGTCAGGAGATCGAGACCATTCTGGCTAACACGGTGAAACACCGTCTGTACTTAAAATACAAAAAAATTAACTGGGTGCGGTGGCGGGCACCTGTAGTCCCAGCTACTTGGGAGGCTGAGGCAGGAGAATGGTGAGAACTCGGGAGGCGGAGGTTGCAGTGAGCCGAGATCGGGCCACGGCACTCGAGCCTGGGCAACAGAGCAGACTCCGTCTCAAAAAAAAAAAAAAAAAAAAGTTCCGAGTCATTAGTTATTTTCTTTCAGCATGCTATTTTACGATCTTCTAGCTTCCATGATTGCTGTTGAAAAGTGAGTTTTTAGTGTAAGTGTTGCTCCTCTGAAGAAAATCTGTCTCTCTCCTTTTCAGCTTTGGTTTTCTGCAATCACTATGTGAATTTGGGTTTCTTTCTTTAAAAAAAAAAAAAAAAATCATACTTGGGATTTGTTAGGCTTCTGATGGTGAATTGATATATTTCATCAGTCCTGGGCAATTCTAAGTCATTACCTCTAAATTGCTTCTGCCACATTTCTGTTTATCTCTTTTAGTTAAAAATATGTTAAACCCTCTCACCTCTCCTCTGTCTTTTACTTACTTGTCTACATTTTCCATCTTTTTGTGTTTTCATGCTTCTTTCTGGATAATTTCTCCTAATCTATCTTCTCTTCAGCTGTGTTTAATTTGCTTCTAAACCCATCTATTAAGTTTCAAATTTTTATTGTAAATTTTAGTTGGAATTTCTATTTTTGTTTTACTGAATGTTATAGTTTTTGTTCCCACACATTTTATGCCCATTCTTTATCTCCCTGAATATTCTAAGCATGTTTCATATTCTGTTTCTGATAATTCCAGTATTGTGGTCCCTGGGGGTTTTGTTATTTGATATGTTTTATTGGTGCTCACTCATGTTGTCTTTTTTTACCAATGTTCCACTTGTATATTTGAAAAATTATTTGTAGAAATAATTTGAGGCATAAAGTCAAGTCACCTTCTGGAGAGGATTTTAATTTTCCTCAGCCAGGCATGAGGGAGTGCTAGCTGTCCAATACAACTTTAATCCAGTTTCAAAGTGTGAGGTTTCCTTGGCTGCTCAGTGACGCAAAGTTGGGATGTAATCACTGTGAGGACTTCCTGCCAATTTACTTTGACCCAGAAGGCAGTGCTCGCTAGGTCCCAGCCCAAAGTCAAGCGGTGAATTTCTGGGATCCTGCCTTTGATGGGCCTTATACTTTATATGTCCCCCTTAGCACTGAGAGGCCACCACTACCGTTGGGTATCTTAGCTGCTTCTACTGGCTCAGCAAATGTCACCAGGGCAAAAACAGCTCCGAGTGAGGTGCTCATCCTTACCTTCTGGATATCAGCCTGGAAATTTCTCACTGTTTTATTTGCCTTTTGATGCTTAAAAATTTTGTCTTTCATAGAGATCATTCAGCCAGTTGTCATGAGAAGGGAATATTTTGATTTCCCTATTTCTATATAGCCAAAGTTATAAGTGCAGAAATTCCTATCTAGAATATTCTTCCCTTCCACTCTAGAAAATGCTCATGAATTGTGAATCAAAAACCGTCAAGTAGTAATTCTCCCACCTTGTATCTTTTCTTTTAGCAGGAATACCAGACTATAATTGCTTTATATGTGATTTGTGACCTCTCTGGGGAGGAGACTAGAATATGTCATAGCAATTGCTCTTTCTGTACCCATAATTCACTCATTTAGTCAGTCGATATTCATTAAGCATATACTACACAACCAGATATTTTTCTGGGTACTGAGGACACAGGGTAAACAAGGCAAATGCAGTTGCTGCCCTCATGATGTTTGTGAACTAAGATAAAATAACAGTCCTTCCAGAATATGTTTCCAGATGAATTCAGTAAAAGTACATAGCTCAAAAATGGACAATAATGGACACTGTAGTCAGAATACTTCAAGCTGAGCAATGGAAATAAATTCTTCCTGACTTAAGGAAAAATAGAATTTATTGAAATGAAATTCATTAGTTCACAGAATCACTGGAAAGGCTGGGGAACTAGACTCAGAATGGGCAGAAACAAGAAAGGCAAGGCAGCAGGTAGGACCACATTTCATGTCAAAAATCCAGTCCAGAGAGGACTTGCTGCCCCCACTGCTGTACCCTGGATATCAGCACTTGCAGCACTTCTGCCAGAGTTAGAACTCTGGAAGCTTCCACAGCACTGCAACTCTGCTTCCCCACAGACTGCATGAGCTATTAGAGCTACCACCCTCTATCACCAGGACACATTCCCCTATCCTGCCCTTTCATGATTCTTAACTCCTGACTCAATCTGTGTATGAGTGTCTGATTGACTGAGCCTAGGTCACATGGCCACTCAAGCCACATGGGAGGCTGGGAAAGGAAAAATCTGGTATTTTCTGGAAGGTTCTGTTAGTGAAACCCTGGTTTTGCATCCCAATTAAGCCCATAACATAAGGAATTTTCCAAACATAGTAAATCAGTGAAGTTAATGGACAGTCAAAAAGAATGACAAATGTCAGCCTCCAGCCATTTTGAAAGTAGATTCTCCACCAGGCACTCTGCTTACTACGCCAGATGCATCATTTTGGAAGTCAGAAAGTCTTCTTCCAAACAATTCATCAACATATTCACTAATGTGCTTATCATCTTTATAACAAACTTACTCTCCTTTTATAGATGGGGAAATGGAGGCGTAGAGAGGTGAAATAAGTTTCCCATGGTCCCATAGGCAGTATGTTCTACAGCTGAGTTTTTAAAACAGATATTTCTGACCACAGAGCCCTTGCCTAACCACTCTACAACACTGTCTCCTCCCCTCCTGCCCCCTCTCCTGTGACAGGTTTAGGTGTAAGGTCCTTTCCTGCATACTAGTGAGACATTAGGGTCAACATAGAAATAAAATGTTCACTCTATATGGTATTTAAAATGATCATTAGGAGCCAGTCTTTTTCTGAACAATTCATCAATATAATTCACTAATGTGCTTATCAGTGATTAATGAAGACTGGTTGCTGTACATTCCTGGCAACATAAATACTGAGTCTATTACTCATTAACAATCTTTTAAGATGCTGTCTTCTTGGCTTGCTTAATGCCAGTCTGAAATGAGTTTCCAGAAATGGCATTTTAATCCATGATATATTTTCTTCCCTCTCAGCCAGGAGGACGTATTATGAAAAGAAAGTGTAGCTTTGGATAAAGCACATATATGCAAAAGCACAAATGCAATATGTTAAGGTATATTCCAGTTCTTTTCCTACCTAATCCTTTTTGAAGACAGTCATATAAACACTTGAGGGGCATGAGTTAAAAAAAGGACCGTTGCCATCTAGGTTGAAACTATGAATAAATCACATCAAATCCTAAGGATTCTAATAGTGAAGTTGTGTTTGTCAGGCTGGGAGCTTGCACTACCAAAATGGAAAAATAAAGGCAGCTTGGAAACCTATGTCAAAAAAGTATGGTGGCACAGAAACAAAGGTAGCAGGGGGAAGGGAGGTCTTTGAGGGAACAGGACAGGCAGAGGCATTCAACAGCCGAAGGTACAACCTGTGTCCAAATGTGGAAGGCATTTACAGTTGCTTTTCAGTTACATGGCTCTGTAAGACAAAGGACCACATGTCAGGTAACTCAGATAGATCCAGGGGAAATATGAAGAGGAAAATGAAGCGAAGAGGAAGAAGGTGAAATGCCAAAAGAAATGGATAGTTTCATAAAAGGAACAACCAGCCAAACAAGGTTCTCATTCACATATCCACATACTAAACTATTTTAAGCATCACACTCCTAGACAGTTACCAATAGTATATCACACTTTATTTTATGGCTATGAAAATTAAATTCATTATATAAATTTTAATATGACAGTACAAAAAGAAAAATGTTTATGTTGCCACAAGAAGTTTGGTTTAGATATTTCTCACTGTAGGGAGTGTTGTTTCTCTCTAATTGGTGCCTTGAGGATATCTGTGCATTTAATTTCCCTGAGAAGGTGATTTGGCTTTTTTTTTTTTTTTGTCTGGGCTTTTATATTGCTTCAGATTTTGTTCCAGAGTATAGAACTGCCAAGTGAAGTCACTGCCACATAACCTTGGAAGAAAAGGATGTCTTTGAGAACAGAATTCACGGTGTAACTATTTTTGCCCAAAGAAAACCTCTTAAATGTATATTGTGCAAGAACTTTTCTGGGCTCTGCTTCAAACTAAATTGGCCTAGATTTTCATGCGGATGCACTGACAAGTGTTTAAGGCTAGATGATAAATCAGAAGCTTATATCACTACAGTAGCTATTCAGCACAATGAAGACAATCCCTCCTACCCCACCCCAGGGAGAACATTTTCTCCAAACACATGATGTTTGCTGTTAAAAGAGGTCACTTTATTGAAACTCGAAGTCAATAACACGAAGACTGGCACTTTCACTTTGGCACTAACTTCCCAACATCCCAACCTGTATGGCATTATAAAACAGGACCATACTGCAACCAGATGTAAACTTTCTTCCTGTCTGGATTTGTCTACCCTTGTTCTTTGCTTCTATAGCACAGCAAACCTTTCAGTTTTTTTCTTATTACGTTGTACTTATGTAACCAAACATCCTTAGGCTCCAGTAGATACAAATGAAGTCATTTTAATCCTCATGAAATAAATGTCCTGTTCCTGCCCACAGCTGCCAGTACATGCAAATCCACTCCTCCCTCCACTGTTCTTCCTCCCATCTGCCAGTATGTATCTTTTGAGTTCCCAAGTATCTCATATGTGCTGTGAACAACTTGATCTCTCTGGTCGCTGTGTGATGTGATTTTCTTTTCTTTTTCACATCCCTCTTGTCCTTTTCCTGTTAAGCCACTTAAGAACTTTGCTTTGCTGCTGATATTAACAGTGCCTACTATACCCAGCAACATCCAGGCCAAGGGCATGTATTCCTGCAGCTCCCAAGCCAACAGTCCGAATGTCCCAGGGCTGTTTGTTCACTAGGTATTTAGTGAGTGCCCACTGTGTGGACACCGTGGCACCCTCCCCATCACTGCTCTATACTTTGCTACTGGGCCCTTACCTGTCACTACTTGGGATTACTATTTTGGAAAGGTTTTATGAATCAGCTTTTTAAATTTTGACTCATAACTCACTGAGCAGAGACTCCAAACCAGTCCAATAGCCAAGGCAGAAGAGAAAAGCATTCCACCCCTCCACTGGCCTCATCCCTTTCTTCTCTATCAGGAGCTCTTCCAGGCAGAGCAACAAAGGGAAAGAAATCCTTATTCTTTGCCTAGAAAATGCAAATCAGTGCACATTTATTCATGCAAACTGATTGTCAGAGAGGTGATAAACCTTCTAGTTTTACCAATAGCTAAGCTCTCAATCCTAGTCTTCATTTAGCTATGACATTCTGCTATCCTATTCTACTGATATCTATGAACATAACAGAATATATTTCTTAGTTTCCTACTAGATTACCATTAACTTAAGAATGTTTCAATTTTACACTCTCTCTGTCCCCACACAATACTTAAAAATAGTGTCTTATAAATCATTTTTAATTGATTTGATGATGACTTTTCATGTGTAATCCTAGAAATCTTAAGGGATATGACCCAATGTCTTTACAGAGTCACAGTCACAGGAAACACCAGTTTGCCTGCATAACTTGAGAAAAAACTTATATATTTTTACTATTGGCAAAATATTGGCATTTTGTATCATGCATTCACTATCCAGAAACTTCCTAGATGTCTTGTCTTGGTATCACTCTTATCAAAGTCTCATATGTATAGCAATTACAAAAACCAAGCAAACAAAATCTCTTGTTCTCTTTTTATGCCACCTAGCCCTTGGGTACCACACTCCCATCTTGTGAGACCTTATTCTCTGCCCCGCGTTCCTTCAATTTCTCACACTGAAAAAGCCGCTTGTGAACTATAGTTTCATCTCTCATTTTCATCACTTTTAAAATGAGAATCATCATCAGAGAAAAAAATCCAGAAGCTGACCTGGAAATGTCTATGATAATGATACAGTAATAATTTTTCCTCATTAAACATACAGCTTGTTTTTTATGTTCATCTTTTTAATGTTTTATTATTTTTAAAACTTAAAAGCGAAGTCAGAACTGAAAAAACTCTCTTTTTAGATAATGTTAGCAATTTTCTCTGAAGGAGAAAAGTTCTGACACAAAGCATGAGTGTGGCTATAAAACATGTTTTTCTGCAGGATCTCAACAAGCTATTTTTGTGATATTTTTACCCTTTTAAGATCTTATAAATTCAATCAGCATAGAATTATCAGAGGGAATCTGAGAACAAATTTTAAATGCATTCAACTAGTGTTTAGGAAAAGAAAATGAAGAGCAAGCCATTTGAATACTTTTCTGCACACTCCTCCATATTAGCTGCTTGTTTTGGTCATCTTTGCTGTGTAACAAACCACTGCAAAATTTAGTGGCTTAAAAATAACTCTTTCCCTTTCATGACTCTGTGAGTTAACTGGGATCAGCTGGGTAATTCTTCTGCTCCATGTGATTCCGTTTGCAGCTACAATCATCTAATGATTCAACTGATCTACAGTGTCTAAGGTGGCTCAGACATGTCTAGGCTTTTGAGAGGAAAGCTTAGAAAGCTGATGCCTTCTGTCTACCTTCCTCCTGTCCATCTCAGCTGGGATACTCAGATAGCTGGGGCTTTTTTTTTTTTCTTTCTCTTCCTACATAGTCACAGGGTCTCTCCTACTCTACATGTGGCTTCTCCACTAGAACCTGCATGGTGGCTCAGGGACCCCCAAAACACAAAGACTTGGTCACAGACCTTCCACATACTCCTAGTTAAAATAATACACAGGGTGAACCCAGATTTAATGTGGAAGGGAGTAAACGCTAGAAAATGTGATTCGTTGGAAGCCATCGTTGGAGATGAGCTACCACATTATCCCACCCCCCACAACACACAATTACCAAAACTAATGTGTTCTTTAATAGTAAGTATTTTCTTCTGTCTAGATAATTGATTTAATCTGATCTATTTTTTAGTTGAAAATTTTCTCATAGTATCCAAAAGTCTTGTTTTAGAGTGGTTATTGACTTTTTTTCCCTGAAATAATTAAAACTGTGTGTATTTTCCTTTAGAAATACTGATACTCACAATTTTAGGTGATTTAGATAGTTAGAAGCATGAAGTTAAAACCTATCTAACAATCACTAAGAGTACTATCCCAATAAAATAAAACTGAATGTTCTTAGACCTAAAGACAGAAAGCAGCATTTCTCAAAATATGTTTCATAACATTGGTACTGGAGGTTGTAAATGCTAGTATGTGAACATGGAGTTTGGAGGAAACTCTGGATTAAATAAAGTTAAGGAGATTTTTTTTTAAGGTAAAATTTGTTAGACCTTTATTATGCAAAGTGGGATGCAATGTTTTTTGTTTTTTTTTTTTGCCCAGGCTGGAGTGCAGTGGCGCCATCTCAGGACACTGCAACCTCCTGCTCCCTCAGCCTCCTGATTAGCTGGGACTACAGGTGCACACCATGACACCTGGCTAATTTTTGCCTTTTTTTTTTTTTTTTGAGTAGAGGCAGAGTTTTGCCATGTTGCCCAGGCTTGTCTCGAACTCCTGGGCTCAAGTGATCTACCCACCTGGGCCTCCCAAAGTTCTGAGATTACAGGTGTGGACCACCATGACTGGCCTGGTTTGTTTTCTTATTTGAACATAAAATTTTTTGTCTCAAAACATCCCCAGAGACTACAGTTCCACCAAATACTCGATGAGAAAATGAGTCTCGACTTGCAGAGCCAAGATGACCAAATAGGAACAGCTCCAGTCTACAGCTCCCAGCCTGAGCGACGCAGAAGATGGGTGATTTCTGCATTTCCATCTGAGGTACCGGGTTCATCTCACTAGGAAGTGCCAGAGAGTGGGCGCAGGTCAGTGGGTGCGTGCACCGTGCGCGAGCCGAAGCAGGGTGAGGTGTTGCCTCACTCGGGAAGCGCATGGGGTCAGGGAGTTCCCTTTCCTAGTCAAAGAAAGGGGTGACGGACGGCACCTGGAAAATCGGGTCACTCCCACCCTAATACTGTGCTTTTCTGACGGGCTTAAAAAAACGGCACACCAGGAGATTATATCCCGCACATGGCTCGGAGGGTCCTATGCCCACGGAGTCTCACTGATTGCTAGCACAGCAGTCTGAGATCAAACTGCAAGGTGGCAGCGAGGCTGGGGGAGGGGCGCCCGCCATTGCCCAGGCTTGCTTAGGTAAACAAAGCAGCGGGGAAGCTCGAACTGGGTGGAGCCCACCACAGCTCAAGGAGGACTGCCTGCCTCTGTAGGCTCCACCTCTGGGGGCAGGGCATAGACAAAAAGACAGCAGTAACCTCTGCAGACTTAAATGTCCCTGTCTGACAGCTTTGAAGAGAGCAGTGGTTCTCCCAGCACGCAGCTGGAGATCTGAGAACGGGCAGACTGCCTCCTCAAGTGGATCCCTGACCCCTGACCCCCGAGCAGCCTAACTGGGAGGCACCCCCCAGCAAGGGCACATTGACACCTCACACGGCAGGGTACTGCAACAGACCTGCAGCTGAGGGTCCTGTCTGTTAGAAGGAAAACTAACAAACAGAAAGGACATCCACACCAAAAACCCATCTGTACATCACCATCATCAAAGACCAAAAGTAGATAAAACCACAAAGATGGGGAAAAAAACAGAACAGAAAAACTGGAAACTCTAAAAAGCAGAGCACCTCTCCTCCTCCAAAGGAACGCAGTTCCTCACCAGCAACGGAACAAAGCTGGACGGAGAACGCCTTGACGAGCTGAGAGAAGAAGGCTTCAGACGATCAAATTACTCTGAGCTATGGGAGGACATTCAAACCAAAGGCAAAGAAGTTGAAAACTTTGAAAAAAATTTAGAAGAATGTATAACTAGAATAACCAATACAGAGAAGTGCTTAAAGGAGCTGATGGAGCTGAAAACCAAGGCTCAAGAACTACGTGAAGAATGCAGAAGCCTCAGGAGCCGATGTGATCAACTTGAAGAAAGGGTATCAGCAATGGAAGATGAAATGAATGAAATGAAGGGAGAAGGGAAGTTTAGAGAAAAAAGAATAAAAAGAAATGAGCAAAGCCTCCAAGAAATATGGGACTATGTGAAAAGACCAAATCTACGTCTGACTGGTGGACCTGAAAGTGATGGGGAGAATGGAACCAAGTTGGAAAACACTCTGCAGGATATTATCCAGGAGAACTTCCCCAATCTAGCAAGGCAGGCCAACGTTCAGATTCAGGAAATACAGAGAACGCCACAAAGATACTCCTCGAGAAGAGCAACTCCAAGACACATAATTGTCAGATTCACCAAAGTTGAAATGAAGGAAAAAATGTTAAGGGCAGCCAGAGAGAAAGGTCGGATTACCCTCAAAGGGAAGCCCATCAGACTAACAGCGGATCTCTCGGCAGAAACTCTACAAGCCAGAAAAGAGTGGGGGCCAATATTCAACATTCTTAAAAGAATTTTCAACCCAGAATTTCATATCCAGCCAAACTAAGCTTCATAAGTGAAGGAGAAATAAAATACTTTACAGACAAGCAAATGCTGAGAGATTTTGTCACCACCAGGCCTGCCCTAAAAGAGCTCCTGAAGGAAGCACTAAACATGGAAAAGAACAACCAGTACCAGCTGCTGCAAAATCATGCCAAAATGTAAAGACCATCGAGACTAGGAAGAAACTGCATCAACTAACGAGCAAAATCACCAGCTAACATCATCATGACAGGATCAAATTCACACATAACAATATTAACTTTAAATGTAAATAGACTAAATGCTCCAATTAAAAGACACAGACTGGCAAATTGGATAAAGAGTCAAGACCCATCAGTGTGCTGTATTCAGGAAACCCATCTCATGTGCAGAGACACATATAGGCTCAAAATAAAAGGATGGAGGAAGATCTACCAAGCAAATGGAAAACAAAAAAAGGCAGGGGTTGCAATCCTAGTCTCTGATAAAACAGACTTTAAACCAACAAAGATCAAAAGAGACAAAGAAGGCCATCACATAATGGTAAAGGGATCAATTCAACAAGAAGAGCTAACTATCCTAAATATATATGCACCCAATACAGGAGCACCCAGATTCATAAAGCAAGTCCTGAGTGACCTACAAAGAGACTTAGACTCCCACACATTAATGATGGGAGACTTTAACACCCCACTGTCAACATTAGACAGATCAACGAGACAGAAAGTCAACAAGGATATCCAGGAATTGAACTCAGCTCTGCACCAAGCAGACCTAATAGACATCTACAGAACTCTCCACCCCAAATCAACAGAATATACATTTTTTTCAGCACCACACCACACCTATTCCAAAATTGACCACATACTTGGAAGTAAAGCTCTCCTCAGCAAATGTAAAAGAACAGAAATTATAACAAACTATCTCTCAGACCACAGTGCAATCAAACTAGAACTCAGGATTAAGAATCTCACTCAAAACTGCTCAACTACATGGAAACTGAACAACCTGCTCCTGAATGACTACTGGGTACATAACAAAATGAAGGCAGAAATAAAGATGTTCTTTGAAACCAATGAGAACAAAGACACAACATACCAGAATCTCTGGGATGCATTCAAAGCAGTGTGTAGAGGGAAATTTATAGCACTAAATGCCCACAAGAGAAAGCAGGAAAGATCTAAAATTGACACCCTAACATCACAATTAAAAGAACTAGAAGAGCAAGAGCAAACACATTCTAAAGCTAGCAGAAGGCAAGAAATAACTACAATCAGAGCAGAACTGAAGGAAATAGAGACACAAAAAACCCTTCAAAAAATTAATGAATCCAGGAGCTGGTGTTTTGAAAGGATCAACAAAATAGATAGACCGCTAGCAAGACTAATAAAGAAAAAAAGAGAGAAGAATCAAATAGATGCAATAAAAAATGATAAAGGGGATATCACCACCGATCCCACAGAAATACAAACTACCATCAGAGAATACTACAAACACCTCTATGCAAATAAACTAGAAAATCTAGAAGAAATGGATAAATTCCTCGACACATACACTCTCCCAAGACTAAACCAGGAAGAAGTTGAATCTCTGAATAGACCAATAACAGGATCTGAAATTGTGGCAATAATCAATAGCTTACCAACCAAAAAGAGTCCAGGACCAGATGGATTCACAACCGAATTCTACCAGAGGTACACGGAGGAACTGGTACCATTCCTTCTGAAACTATTCCAATCAATAGAAAAGGAGGGAATCCTCCCTAACTCATTTTATGAGGCCAGCATCATTCTGATACCAAAGCCTGGCAGAGACACAACCAAAAAAGAGAATTTTAGACCAATATCCTTGATGAACATTGATGCAAAAATCCTCAATAAAATACTGACAAACGGAATCCAGCAGCACATCAAAAAGCTTATCCACCATGATCAAGTGGGCTTCATCCCTGGGATGCAAGGCTGGTTCAATATACACAAATCAATAAATATAATCCAGCATATAAACAGAGCCAAAGACAAAAACCACATGATTATCTCAATAGATGCAGAAAAGGCCTTTGACAAAATTCAACAACCCTTCATGCTAAAAACTCTCAATAAATTAGGTATTGATGGAACATATTTCAAAATAATAAGAGCTATCTATGACAAACCCACAGCCAATATCATACTGAATGGGCAAAAACTGGAAGCATTCCCTTTGAAAACTGGCACAAGACAGGGATGCCCTCTCTCACCACTCCTATTCAACATAGTGTTGGAAGTTCTGGCCAGGGCAATTAAGCAAGAGAAGGAAATAAAGGGTATTCAATTAGGAAAAGAGGAAGTCAAATTGTCCCTGTTTGCGGATGACATGATTGTATATCTAGAAAACCCCATTGTCTCAGCCCAAAATCTCCTTAAGCTGATAAGCAACTTCAGCAAAGTCTCAGGATACAAAATCAATGTACAAAAATCGCAAGCATTCTTATACACCAATAACAGACAAACAGAGAGCCAAATCATGAGTGAACTCCCATTCACAATTGCTTCAAAGAGAATAAAATACCTAGGAATCCAACTTACAAGGGATGTGAAGGACCTCTTCAAGGAGAACTACAAACCACTGCTCAATGAAATAAAAGAGGATACAAACAAATGGAAGAACCCATGCTCATGGGTAGGAAGAATCAATATCGTGAAAATGGCCATACTGCCCAAGGTAATTTACAGATTCAATGCCATCCCCATCAAGCTACCAATGCCTTTCTTCACAGAATTGGAAAAAACTACTTTAAAGTTCATATGGAGCCAAAAAAGAGCCCGCATCGCCAAGTCAATCCTAAGCCAAAAGAACAAAGCTGGAGGCATCACACTACCTGACTTCAAACTGTACTACAAGGCTACAGTAACAAAAACAGCATGGTAATGGTACCAAAACAGAGATATAGATCAATGGAACAGAACAGAGCCCTCAGAAATAACGCCGCATATCTACAACTATCTGATCTTTGACAAACCTGAGAAAAACAAGCAATGGGGAAAGGATTCCCTATTTAATAAATGGTGCTGGGAAAACTGGCTAGCCATATGTAGAAAGCTGAAACTGGATCCCTTCCTTACACCTTATACAAAAATTAATTCAAGATGGATTAAAGACTTAAACGTTAGACCTAAAACCATAAAAACCCTAGAAGAAAACCTAGGCATTACCATTCAGGACATAGGCATGGGCAAGGACTTCATGTCTAAAACACCAAAAGCAATGGCAACAAAAGACAAAATTGACAAATGGGATCTAATTAAACTAAAGAGCTTCTGTACAGCAAAAGAAACTACCATCAGAGTGAACAGGCAACCTACAAAATGGGAAAAATTTTTTGCAACCTACTCATCTGACAAAGGGCTAATATCCAGAATCTACAATGAACTCAAACAAATTTACAAGAAAAAAACAAACAACCCCATCAAAAAGTGGGCAAAGGACATGAACAGACACTTCTCAAAAGAAGACATTTATGCAGCCAAAAAACACATGAAAAAATGCTCATCATCACTGGCCATCAGAGAAATGCAAATCAAAACCACAATTAGATACCATCTCACACCAGTTAGAATGGCAATCATTAAAAAGTCAGGAAACAACAGGTGCTGGAGAGGATGTGGAGAAATAGGAACACTTTTACACTGTTGGTGGGACTGTAAACTAGTTCAACCATTGTGGAAGTCAGTGTGGCGATTCCTCAGGGATCTAGAACTAGAAACACCATTTGACCCAGCCATCCCATTACTGGGTATATACCCAAAGGACTATAAATCATGCTGCTATAAAGACACATGCACACGTATGTTTATTGTGGCACTATTCACAATAGCAAAGACTTGGAACCAACCCAAATGTCCAACAATGATAGACTGGATTAAGAAAATGTGGCACATATACACCATTGAATACTATGCAGCCATAAAAAATGATGAGTTCATGTCCTTTGTAGGGAGATGGATGAAACTGGAAATCATCATTCTCAGTAAACTATCGCAAGAACAAAAAACCAAACACCGCATATTCTCACTCATAGGTGGGAATTGAACAATGAGATCACATGGACACAGGAAGGGGAACATCACACTCTGGGGACTGTTGTGGGGTGGGGGGAGGGGGGAGGGATAGCACTGGGAGATATACCTAATGCTAGATGACGAGTTAGTGGGTGCAGCTCACCAGCATGGCACATGTATACATATGTAACTAACCTGCACATTGTGCACATGTACCTTAAAACTTAAAGTATAATAATAAAAAAAAAAAAAAAAGAAAATGAGTCTCTAAAGCATAACGTGCTGGGAAGATAACATTACCACCCAGTAGCTTCATGTTCCATGGTTTTGAAAAAATTTTAGAGGTGTAAAAGATACTCATAATGTATGAGTGTTGCAATCAATCATTATAATAGCAGATAATATCTATTGAGCATTTACTATGTATTGCATAACGTGCTAAGTACTTCGTGTCCATTTTATAATGCATTAAAGTCTTTACACATTCTCCCATTTAATCCTTTTGATAATTGCACAAAGTAGATACTATTGTAATCTCCATTTTACAGATGAGGAAACTGAGTCATAAGAAGACACACAACCAAGAGGTAGAGATATGACTCAAACCTCAGTTCGTATGACTCCATAGTCTGTGAGTTTAACTACATCTCTACATTGCATTCTCTTCTGCATATCAAATTAAATTTTCAGATTCTAACCTTCATGCTTCAGATTGAGTTGATTCCACAACTCCACAATGGAGTTTTAGCCTAATTAAAATAATACAAAGGGCCAACCAAGTGTTTACCAAGTACCTACAATGTGCTCGTCCTTATGCTTTTATATATACTTATTAGGTGATTTAATTCTTACAATAGCCATAGAAGAAAAGTACTGAACATTTTGTAAGAAAAAATAAACTCTTTTGTTTTGATATTGAGCATTTTGCAAACATAGAATAAGCATCCCATCAACCACTTCAGATGATTTCTTAGGAACTCACTGAATTCTGAAGTACAGACTACCATCCCTCACATTTTCCTAAAGTATTGCTTCACCGAAGCACTCAGAACATTGAAAGTTATTTCAGCTTAAATACAGCTTTTCTGCAGCCCATTAAATATCTAGCTGGACTTCTAGTGAAAATTATGCAGAATAATATGTTTGGAACCCATACTTATTAAATTCTATACCCAGGGTGATAATGTATATCTTTCTTAATCATATATAAGTGTAAAAGAAATAAGTGGAAATGAATGGTACCAATTGAATCTATACTTCTTTGCACAACATAACTTCAACAGAGCAAAAATATCCATAGAAATATATTTCCTTTCGAAGTTATTTCAAGATGGCAAATTGAGCACACATTTATGATCCGGGCTTCCTGAGAGTCCACTGAAATAGAAATATAGAAGCACAAAAAAGAATAAAGAATAAAAGTTATTTGGGAAAGGATGTGAAGAGCATTGATCATTAGTGAATGAGAAATGTCAACAAATTTCTGGATGACAGGAAGCAGATGGAAGGTTCTAGGCAGATAAATAGCACAGAATTTCTAAAAGAGGGGCTATGATTAGGTGGGAGCTTTACCAGTAGCAAAGTTGGAGCAACCACAAGCTTGGAGTTAGTAGAAAATAGAGAAACCTGGAGCAGATAGCAGTTCTGTGTGTGAAAACTAAGGTCTGCATATGACCTTAGTTACTTGGCTTAGTTACCCTGTGTCCCATCTGTTCACAGAGGGCAATCAGCCCAGCAACATAACGTGGAGGTTAAAAGAATGGACTGTGGAGCAAGTTATCTTGGTTCAAAGTCTGCTTCTGCCATTTACTAACTCTGTAACTTTGGGCAGATTATTTAACCTCTCTGTGCCTCCATTTCCCTGTGCATGAAAGCGGGATAATAATAGTACCTAACTCATAAGATTTTTGTAAGTAGTAAATGAATTTACATATGTGATGTGCTTAAGACAGTGTCTAGCACATGATACTATATAAATAGTAGCAATATCAATAGTTTTTATCATTGTTATCAATACTTCCTGAACAAACCTCTTGAATAAACCATAGGAGAACATCTATGGATTATGGTATGGAAATTTGAGTCTCAAAGTAAAGCCTTCCTCAATCTGGAATTTGGGAGATTAGTACCTGATTGCTGGCTCCCTGCTCACTTATCCTAAAACAGTCCTGTCAGTGAACCTCTCCCCCTCAACTACATGGGGTTTCCAGTCAGACTTCCCACTAAAGGAATGAGAAAGTATATCAGGAAATAGACCTACTAATATAAAAGTAAACCCATCCCAACTACTCAGTCATTTGTTGTAAATGCAAAGAGAAAACCTAGGATCACTAAGCAGAATTTACCAGCATGTGTAAGAAAATATTCAAGACAAGTAAATAGCAAAAACTGATCCCAGAGGTAATGGAGATAATTCAGGGAGAAGAAGAGAAGCTAAAAAACAACATCAAGAATTTTAAAAATCCACTTAGAATTTTCAGAGATATCAACCGATATTGCATCCACCACAAACTATACCTATATACATCTGCTATTACAAAAATAAAACAATAAAAAAAAGAGCTCTTTGAGGTTAAAAACCCGAAAATTCAAAACCATCAGAAGAATGTTAGAGGTGGGCTCCAGGGTGGCTGATTAGAGGTACCCAGCATTTGCCTCTTCCACAAAGAAGGACGAAGACAGGGGATAGATAACCACATGTCTAAAAGAGAACATTGGAACCCAGCAGAGAAGAGACAGAAGGAAAGGCAAAGCAGCTGGCCTGGCCAGGAATGGCTCAGAATGAGAGGGAACTTCCCATTGTAGGGAAGAATTAAGTGAGAGCTCCCTAAAAATCTATATTCACATCGAGGATGCCTACAATCCTGGCCACAGGACACTCGGCCCTCATGGATACTGAGAGTGCTGAAGAAAGATGCCCTGAGTGCATGAGACAGCACAGGTCCAGAAAGGGGGTTTATGCTGGGTTCCACACAAACCCCAAGACCCAACAAGTTGCAGCACAGTGCTATTTTGAGAGTCCAGCCCCCACCACACTGCATCCTGCTCTGGAGCCCAACAGCCCTTGCATCTTCACATCCCTGACCCTGCTGAGATTCCCCTACATCTACCCAGAGGGTTGCGGTGTTGCGATGCCAGCTGGACCCAGCAGTGCAGCCAGGTTCCCAGCACTCTAGCCCACACAGTATCTTACACCCTGGGAAATGGGTGGTGCAATGCAACAGGGAGGCTGAACCTGGGACAAATGGAGCCAAAGCATGCTCTCCCTAGAGCCTAAGGGTTGCCTAACCAGCATTGCTGCCACTGACAGCAACCCCGACTTCTCCAATAGGAGGCCTGCCACACACCAGCATGTACCTTTAAGGAGACTGGGGGCCAGTCTGCCTGTGTGCCATCCCAGGACCCAAGGACAGGTCCATTCCACCCACTGCTGCTGGTGCCGACGTGTACCATCCTCAGGCCTAAAGACAGGCCTGCCATGCCTGCTGCTGGCACCCGAGTGCAATCCAGAGTCCTGGGGTGTATCCCACCCACTGCAGCCAACACTCTTGCACACCACTGTGGGGCCTGAGGACAGGCCTATCTCACTCATCACCACCAACACCTAAGAGCTCAGTCCAAGGGCCTGGGAATTGACCTTCCCTGTCCACCACTACCAGTGCCCACATGCAGCATTGGGGGGTCTGAGGACAGATCTACTCTGCCCGCTACTGATAGTTCCTATGGACATTGTCCAGGGGCCTAGGGATTAACCCACTCCACCCACCACAACCAGGGCCCACACACACACTGCAGGGATGTCAGGACAGGCCTGCCCCATGCACCGCTACCGCTACCAGCACCTGCTTGCGTTGTCTGGGGGTGTAGGGTTTGACCCACCTTGCCCATGACCACTGGAAGCTGCAAATGCCTTTTGGGAGCCTGAAGATGGGTCCACCCTCCACACAGCCACTGTCCGCATGTGCTGTTTAGGGGTCTGAGGACAGGCCTGCCCTGCCCACCACCACCAGTGAATTCACACAATATCCAGGGACCCAGCCTGCCATCACCGTGACTGGTGCCTGCATATGCTGCTCAGAAACCCCAGAGTTGATGTGCCACCTCTACTGCCACTGCTAATGCAATACACACCACTCAGGGACCTAAGGACCCACTCACCTGGCCTGCTGCTACCATCATTGGTAACAGCATGCTGCCTGGAGCCCTGAGACCCAGAACCAACATCACTGGCACCTGCATACACAGGCTGAGGGCCCAAGGATTCAGCAGGCCCAGCCCACTGTCACCACCATTGGATCCCCCAAAACAAACACACCTGACATCCCCATCCTCACCATAGCCTTGCCACAGCCTCCACTAATAACCACAACCTAAGCCACTGAGGAAGTCAGAGACTCCATTAACACTGATTACAGTCGAAGATACCATATGGAGGCTCCACTACTGTGGCCACCCAGAATCAAAGCCAAAGCACCCTACTCAACCAATACTATAGATATCTCTATTGTAAAAAAAATTCTTTCTCTACAAAACCCAATCCGTACAATTGGAAGAAGCAACTGTTATGCTAGATGTGCAGATATGAATGTAAGGACAAAAGAAACATTAAAAAAGCAAGTAAATGACATAATCAAAGGAACACAATAATTCTTCAGCAATAAATCCCAAAAGAAAAGAAAATCTATGAAATTCTTGCAAAAGAATTCAAAATGACAACATTTAAGAAATTCAGTGAGATACAGGAGAACACAGATAAGAAATACAAAGAAATCAGAAAAACAATTTATGATCTGAATAAGAAATTCAACAAAAAGATAGATATGATAAAAATGAACCAAACATAAGTCCTGGAACTGAGGAATTAGTGAAATAAAAAATATAATCAAGAGTTTTAACAATAGATTAAACAGAAGAAATAATTTCTGAAGATAGGGCTTTTGAAATAATTCAATCAGACGAAAAAAGACTAAAAAAGAAACTTACATGATATATGTGACACCATAAAGAGACCAAATATTTGAATTTTGGGAGTTCTAGAAGGAGAAGAGATGAGGAAAGGCAGAGGAAACCTATTTAATGAAATAATAGCTAAAAACTTCTCAAGTCTTGCAAAAGATATAGACATCCAGGTATAGGAAGCTCAAAATTCCCAACGAAGATTAAACTCAAAAAGATCTCCAAGAACATTATAGTCAAACTGTCGAAAGGCAGATACAAAATGAATGTTCTAAAAACAGTGGAAGAAAAGTGTCAAGTCACATATGAGGGAATCTCCATAAGGCTATTCAGCAGATTTCTCAGCAGAAACCATATAGGCCAGGAGAGAATGGGATGATATATTCAAAAGATATATAAAATGATCAGAAAACAATTAACAAAATGACAAGAGTAGGTCCTCAGCTATTAATAACAAGTTTGAATGTAAATGGTTTAAATTCCCCAATTAAAAGATATAGACTGGCTGAAATAATAATAATTTAAAAACCTGGGACCCAACTGCCTACAGAAAACTCATTTTACCTGTAAAGACACACATTTATTAAAAGTAAAGGGGTGGAAAAAATTTCCATGAAAATGGGAACCAAAAGCATGTAGAAGTAGTGATACTTACAATAGACAAAATAGACTTCAAGTCAATAAAACATAAAAAGAGACAAAGAATACCATTATACCATGACGAAAGGATAAATTCAGCAAGAGAATATATTAATAACAATATGCACCCAATGCCAGACTACACAGACATATAAATCAAATATTGTAAAAGCTAAAGGCAGAGATCAATCTCAATACAACAATAGTTGAGGTATTTAACCCTCCACCTTCAGCATTAGACCATCTAGACAGAAAATCAGCGTGGAAATATCAGGCTTAATCTGCATTATAGACCAAGTGTACCTAACAGATGTTTATAGAACATTTTATCAAACAGCTGCAGAATACACATTCTTCTCATCAGCACTTGGAACATTCCCCAGGTTAGATCATATATTTGGCCACAAAACAAGTCTCAAAATGTTTTAAAAATTGAAATTATATCAAGTATCTTTTCAGACCACAGTGGAATAAAACTAGAAATCAACAGCAAGAGGAACTTTAGAAACTGTATAAATACATGAAAATCAAGCAACATGCTCCTGAACAACCACTGTGTCAATTAAGAAGAAAAAAAAATTTCTTGAAACAAATGAAAATGTAAACATAACATACCAAAACTTGTGGGATACAGCAAAAGCAGTGCTAAGAGGGAAGTTTATAGCAATAAATACCTACATAAAAAATTGGAAAGATTTCAAATAACCTAATGGCTAACCTTAAGGAACTAAAAAGAGCAAAAAGAAACCAAACTCAAAATTAACAGAAGGAAAGAAATAAGATCAGAGCAGAACTAAATGAAATAGAGACTTAAAAAAATGCAGTGGATTAACAAAATGAAAAGTTGATTTTTTGAAAGGATAAACAAAGCTGATAAACTGCTAGACTAACCAAGAATAAAAGAGAGAAGACCCATATAAATATACTCAGAAACTAAAAGGAGATGTTACTACTGACACCACAGAAATATAAAGGATCATTAGAGACTATTATGAATATATGCTAACAAATTGGAAAACCTAGAAGACATGGATAAATTCCTGTACACATAGAAGTTGCCCAGATTGAATCAGGAGGATACAGTAAACAGACTCATAATGAGTAAAGATATTGAATCAGTAATAAAAAATGAAAACAACAACAACAACAAAAAAGCCCAGGACTGGATGGTTGACTGCTAAATTCTATCAGATTTATAAAGAAGAATTAACATCAGTTCTTCTCAAAATCTTTTGAAAATTGAAGAGGATAAAATTCTTCCTAACTCATTATATGAGGCCAGCATAACCCTGATATCAAAACCAGATAAGAACACACCAAAAGGTAAAACTACAGAGTAAGATTCCTTATAAACACAGAAGCAAAATCCAGAACAAAATTCTAGCAGATCAAATCCAACAACACATCAAAAAGGTAATACAACATAATCCAGTGAGATTTATCCCAGGGATGCAAGGATGGTTCCACATCACAAATCAATAAATGTAATACATCACATCAACAGAAAGAAGGACAAAATCCAGATGATTATGTCAACAGGTGCGAAAAGCAATTGATAAGGTTCAACATCCTTTGATGATAAAAACTTTCAACAAATTAGGCATAGAGAAAACATACCTCAATATAATAAAGGCCATATATGACAAACCCACAGCTAACATTATACTGAATGGGTAAAAGCTGAAAGCCTTTCCTATAAGAACTGGAACAAAACACAGATGTCCACTTTCACAACTCTTACCCAACATAGTACTAGAAGTCCTAGCCAGAGCAATTAGGCAAGAGAATGAAATAAAGGGGATTCAAATTGGAAAAGGGGAAGTTAAATGGTCACTCTTTGCAGATGGCATTATCTTATGTATCAAACAACCTGAAGACTCCACCAAAAATACTCTTATAACTGATAAATAAATTCAGTAAAGCTGCAGGATACAAAATCAAAACACAGAAATCAGTAGCATTTCTCTTTTGTATACACCAATAATGAACTAGCTGAAAAAGAAATCAAGAAGGCAATCCAACTTAAAATAGCTCTAAATAAAAATACCTAGGAATAAATTTAATCAGGAATATGAAAGACCTCTACAGTGAATACCATAAAACACTGATGAAAGAAATTGAAGGGGACACAAACAAGTTGAAAGATATCTGATGTTCATGTATTGGAAGAATTAATATTGTTAAAATGACCATACTGCCCAAAACAATATGCAGATTTAATGCAATCCCTATCAAAATACCAATGACATTTTTCACAGAAATGGAGAGAAAAAAAACAATTCTAAAATTTGTATTGAACCACAAAAGATGCTGAATAGCCAAAGCAATACTGAGCAGAAAGAGCAAAGCTGGTAATCATATTACTTGATTTCAAAATATACTACAAAGCTATAGTATCCAAAGGAGCATAGTATTGGCATAAAAACAGAGACATAGACCAATGAAACAGAATAGACAATCCAGAAATAAATGTATATATTTAGAGCCAACTGATTTTTGTCAAAGGTGCCAAGAACAAACATTGGGAACAGGACACTCCCTTCAATAAATGGTGCTGAAAAAACTGAATATCCATATGCAGAAGAATGAAACTAGACCAATATCTCTCATTATAAACAAAAATCAACTAGAAATGGATTGAAGATCTACAAGACCCAAGACTCTAAAACCATTAGAAGAAAACAAAGGGGAAATGCTTTAGAACATGGTTCAGGGAAAAGATGTTATGGCTGAGACCTCAAAAGCATAGGCAACAAAAGCAAAAATAGACAAATTGGACAATCTTAAAAAGCTTCTGCACAGCAAAGGAAAAGAATCAATAGATTGAAGAGACAACCTGTTAAATAGGAGAAAATATTTGCAAACTATGCATCCAACAAGGGATTAATATCTAGAACATACAAGGAACTCAATAGCAAAGAGCCCAATAATTCCATTACAAGTGGGCAAAGGATCTGAATAGACATTTTTCAAAAGATGACACACAAATGGTCAACAGGTATATGAAAAAATGCTCAACATCACTAATCATCAGAAAAATGCAATTCAAAATCACAATGTGATATCACTTCACCCCAGTTCGAATGGCTATTGGCAAAAAGACAAAATATAACAGATGCTGCTGAGAATATGGAGAGAAGGTAACTCTTTTACACTGTTGATGGGAATGTAAATTAGTACAGCCATTATAAAAAACAATATGGAGATTTCTCAGAAACCTAAACATAGAATGCCATACAATCCAACAATCCCACTACTCAGTATTTATCCAAAGGAAAGGGCATCAGCATAGCAAAGGGATATCTGTATCCCCATGTTTACTGCAGTGCTATTCATAGTAGCAAAGATATGGAATCAATCTAAGTGTTCACTGATGGATGAATGGATACAGAAAATGTGATGTAAATACCCAGTTGAATAGTATTCAGCCATAAAAAAGAATGAAATCTTGTTACATGGATGGAACTGGAGGTTATAATGTTAAGTGAAATAAGCCAGCAACAGAAAGGCAGATATTGCATGTTCTCTCTCAGATGTGGGAGGTTAAAAAGTTGATCTCATGAAGGTAGAGATTAGAATACTGGTTACCAGAGGTTGAGTAGGGTGGCAGTGAGGAAGATGAGAGGTTGGTTAATGAATAGAAACATACAGTTAGAGAGAAGGAATAAATTCTAGTGTTCAATAGCAAAGTAGTGTGGCTTGTTAATGATAATTTATTATGTATTTCAAAATAGCTAGAAGAGAACATTTGAAATATTCCCAACACAAAGAAATGATAAATGTGTGAGGTGATGGATATCCTAAATACATTGATTTTATCATTACACATTGTATGCATATGTCAAAATATCACATGGACATCAACAAATATGAATACTTCTTATGTACTACTAATAAAAATACACTACAAGTTAAAATCAAGATTTCCCAGGATATAAAGCATAATGACAACAAGATGGAAAATTAAGAAAGGAAAAAACAGAAAATCCTTAGAGGGCTAATTCATAAGGATTCCATGTGCAACTAATGGGTTCTAAAAAGAAAGAAGTCAGAATGGATGGCATATGTGTTACCAAGGATTAGATGAGAAAACATGTCCCATGCCTGAAAAAAGATTTAATGATTCTGGTTGAAACGGTCTCTGAACACCAAACAGAGAGAAAGAAGTTCACACTGCTCACATCATTAGGGAATTTTAGAATAAAAGGAAGTAAGAAAAGATCCTAAAATAAAAACCCAGTGAGAATAATTATGTTAACAAGAAAGTAATGAGAACCAGATTGGAATCAGACATCTCATCAGCGACACTAGATGCTGAAAGACCATTTAGCGAAGCCTTCTTCCAAGGGCCATCCATTTACCTTCTTTGCAATAAGTGGAGATGCTGACTGTATACCCTCTTTTCTAAGCCACACCAGCCCAGACACAAAAATAAGACTACAATGGCAGTGACAAAATAACTATTTTTCTGGTTTGGCCCTCTTCAGCAGAACTCCAGCTATCTTTTGAATTCCTCCTAAATACTTAATCGGTGCAACCTGCAACTTTGTCATCCTGGCTCCAAGAGGTAGCCTCGCATTCCACCTCTGCTGCACATGCCCCTTGGTGAGTTCTCCTGTTACCGCCAATGCCAATGTCTGCCAGAGAGTCTGCCTTTAAGCATTGTCTGAGCCTGGTAGGACGTCACAGCACTTAACTGCACAGGCTCTGGCAACAGAATGGCTGGACTCAAATCCCAGTCCCACCACATACTAGAAGCTTAACCTTGATCTATCTAGGCCTTGATTTTAGCTTCAGTAAATTGAGGATAATAATAGTATTTATCCCACAGTGTGATTGTGATAATGAAACGAGATAATCCTGTTTAAAAAGTTAGCACAGTGCCTAGCATAGAGTTCCCACTTGATAAAGTTTCAGTATATCCTACAAGCAAAGACAAAACAAAATCTCATGTGTCATGCCACTGGTACCTGCCAGCGTACACACTCAAAATGCTGCTGCCTGCTCATGGCAGCATCTTCCATCAGCACCATAGCTTCAGCTTCCCTGGGTAACACTTCACTCAAGTGAGCAGTCAATGTAATTCTCTTGACTTTCGAGTTCACTTAAGTTCTACTTTAAGCACCCATTCTGAATGGTGATAGAAACTCGGTGAATTTAGAGCCCTCTTCCCAAGTTGCATATATGTTTCCAAGGGAATACACACTACCTCTGCATTGTCTGGTGGTGGGAGGAGGCAGTACTAAGTCCTTGTCTCCTAAACAATGATGTCCTTTGGCCTCTCTGGGGTCCTCAACCATCAACAAAGTCAGCGGATGCATCTCCCCTGACTCCCACCCTAAAGACCTTTCAGACCTAGCTCTCTGACAGATACCTGCACGCCACTCTAGAGCCTCAGAGATCTGAGGATGGTTCCTGCTCTTCCTCATCACTGGCCCCATGGTGAGTGTGGGGGAAATCCTACTACGGATGACCTGGCCGTTCATGCAAGTCTCCCGACTCCTGCTTGTTTCTCCGTCTCTGAATGAGCACAGAAGCCCTCTATTCCCAGATTCCCTGGACTGATCCGGATTGTTTTGTCCAGCCTTCTCTCCTCCTGGGGGCTCTGGCTAAGAGGTAAGGGAAAGAGCCTGCTCCCTTTTTGAGTGACACACACCGGCATCTGCCTCCCTTGCTTCCTTCCCGTTCTTCTCCTTGCCCTACTCCAGGAGGAACATGACCTTGCTTTGGAGAGGGACAGGAAGGGAGGAGGATTGTGCTCACTTTGCCCAGAGGCCCTGGAGGCCCTACTGCTATTGGCTCCTTAGCTGTGACATCCCTGAGGGCAGAAAATGCCAATGACAAGCAGAGACAGGCAAGGAAATGCAAGGATACCAGACAAACTTAGCAAGGTCAAATTGTTATCTGCCATAATCTTGATACATCATAGAACAGCACCAGATAACATTTTTTGAGAACTTACTAGATTCCAGGCTTTTCTTTAAGCACTTTGTATGTATTAAGTCAGTTAATAATCATAAGAGCCTGGGAGGCAGGTAGTATTTTACTCCCACTTTCCAGATGAAAAAATTGGAGGCTAGGACAAGTTAAAGTAACTTGTGCAAGGTCAGCGAATATGTCCATAGGAAAGCTGGGAAGACAAACCTATGCAGAGTGGTTCTAGGGTCTAGGTCTCCACCCATCTTCCATCTGCCTCTCCTGGACTGTGACCCAAACAACTCCTGGGGTTTCCCTCAGTCTCATATTGTGGCCTGCGGCCTGAGTCTATGGATGTGGGTCAGGGGACACTTGGAGCAGCAGGCATACTCAGAATCAGCCCCCACCTCCTGCCCCCATGCACGCTCCTTGTTCTTAAAGAAAATGCACCTCCTGCACCTCTCTTTTGCTTTAGGTGGAGTAATTTACCTTGCCCATTATGAAAAGCAAAATATGGTCTAATGGAAAATGCAAGCCCAGCTTAAACCACAATTCCCTCTCCACCATTATAGCTGAGAAACTTTAATCAAGTTGTTTATTATCTCTGAGGCTTAGTGATTTTATCCATAAAATGGGGAGAAGACATCATAGCGTCATTAGATATGTGACGTGCTTAACACAATGCCTGACACATAGAAGGCACAAAGTAGATATTTATTTGGTTTGTTATTTCATCTAAGTTTGTGATGAGCATGTAGGGGCATTCTAACCTTCGGTGGCATAAAGTTAGATTGCTCTGTGTGAAACCAGCTGCTTGAGGTCCTTTGTCCTAGAGGCAGTTCATTGCCTGTTTATGTGCATGTCACAAGCATTGTACTAAAAGAGTCACTCTTAGCAAGAGCTTTTTTCCTTAACAATGACTGGTCTGTTTAGATTTATATCTATTGGGTTACACCTAGAGTGAAGTCAATCAATTCCCCCCCAAAAAAACTGAATAAATAATCATAAATTAATATGCTTAATAATAATGTTAACAGCTATCATTTGTATAGTACTCACTATGAGCCAGCTACTTTACTAAGGTGAATTTCATCTTTACAGTCTTGTGAGAAAGAAACTCTTGCACCTATTTTACAGAATAGGTTGTCGAGGTTTAAAGAGGTTAAATAACTTGTCCAAGGTTACAGAACTAGCTCTTGGCAGAGTTGGATTTTAAACAGAAGGGCATCCATTTTAATCCAAAGCCTGTGCTCTCCATCATGATTTAAAAGCAAATAGTAAGCCGGGCGCGGTGGCTCACGCCTGTAATCCCAGCACTTTGGGAGGCTGAGGTGGGCGGATCACAAGGTCAGGAGATCGCGACCACGGTGAAACCCCGTCTCTACTAAAAATACAAAAAATTAGCCAGGCGCGGTGGCGGGCGCCTGTAGTCCCAGCTACTCGGGAGGCTGAGGCAGGAGAATGGCGTGAACCCGGGAGGCGGAGCTTGCAGTGAGCTGAGATCGCGCCACTGCACTCCAGCCTGGGCGACAGAGTGAGACTCCGTCTCAAAAAAAAAAAAAAAAAAAATAGTAACAACAATAAAACGTAGGAAAAAACTTAGCTTCTATACTCCTTTTGCTTTCTAAAAAATTGCATATTAATCTAAGTCACATGTTCCATTAAGCCTTGCAACATAAAAGCAATAGAAATAAAACAGAACTAGTCTTAATAGATGTGTTTTCAAGACCAAGGAAAAGAAAGTCCCATGAGAATTTTCTATTATCTAAGCATGCACAGGAAATTTCACAAAGGATACTTAAAGCAAATTACTGGAATTTGGTGAGCTGGTTTTCTCCCATGAATATATTCACTGGGCCTCACCAGCATAGTGATAAAGAATAGTCCTCAGTTGACATCTAAATTAAAAAGTCAAATTTTCTAATTTATTAGAAAATAATAAAAGAAATAGTTGATTTATTTCTCCATTAGTGTTTGCCATAGTACCTAGTAGCATGCATTCATTTGACCAGTTTCCCTGGGGTATTAGTTAGCAAACTTCCTGGGGGTCTTTGGAACTTAAATAAATAAAGCAGATTCAACAGATAAGGTGCATTACTGTACGAAAATTTTTATGGCTTTAGCAGAGAACAGAATCCAACACCCATACTCATTTATAGACCTGATTAACAAGAAATTTTCTCCAAGCAGATGGAGCATGAAAACTGCTGCCCCTTGGAATCAGTTTTCTAACTGAGTTTAATATTTGCATTTGGTTTTCCACTGTTATTATTATTATTGCCATTTTAACTTATGCATTCCCGCCATAGCATATGCCTCTAGGTACAAGAGGAAGGAAAAATTCAATTTTAGTGTTTGTCTTATTTGCACTTTACTTGATGCAATTTGGTTTGCCACATGGAGTGAATAAAGCTGTCATGTTATTTTTTTTTTCAAGAAGAACACAATAACTATAATGGACTGTGCATTCATTACTGAGTAGATTCATTTTTTTCTCCCATTGAAGGGCATAAAAGAGGGGATAATTTCAAAGTGAATTGAATTGTGTCTGGTGAATCATGATGCGCATTTCCGACCAAGGCATAAAACACGTCCCAGCTTTTCTGCCAGCATTTTTTTGAAGAATATTACTCAGAATGCAGTAAAGCCATATTTGTTTGGTTTTTTGCTTGTATGTACTAATTTTCTGCGGGAAAATGTAAATTAAAAGATAACCTTTGACTTCCAGAAAGTATGCTCTATGATGGAGTCTTGGCTTGCTTTCCTGGGGGACTTGAATTTCTCTTCCTTTTTTCTTATTTTACATTACCTCCTTAACATTTTCACCTACCATCTAGCTATTGCCAAATTTTTCCCTAGATGTTAAAGATCTTAGCTGTGTTCATACTACCATTCAAACATGCCTGGCCCCATCTGGAGATTCACTGTAGGGGACCCTTCAGAGCTCTGTTGGCATGAAGTACTCAAGATCTCACTAGGAAATAGCTCATTATAAGAACAGATTTGAGGGGAATACATTTGAAGACAGTGGGATAGGGTTGGAGGAGAGGATCATTTGGGTAATAACATTATCATTCAGATCATTCCCCATTTGGTTTCCTTGGAGGGCTCACACCTGTAATCCTAGCACTTTGGGAGGTCAAGGCAGGAGGATCACTTGAGGCCAGGACTTTGTGACCAGCCTGAGTAATATAAGACCTCATTTCCATAAACAAATTTTTTTTTAAATTTTAAGAGCTGTTTTTACAAAAAATCTTTAGATATTGAGAGCACAAAGAAGTGCTTTTGTGTAACCTAGGTAACTCATGGCAGTAATACAAATAATTAACATTTATTGAGCTCTTCTAATTAGTAAACATTTTGCATACATTATCTAATCCAATCATCACAGTGATCCAATGATATGGTCATTATTTTCTCCAATTAAGGCTTAAAAGGGATGTGTAACTTGCCTGTGGACACATAGCTCAAACATGGCAGATCCAGGATTCTATGTACATCTCTCTGAATTTAAAATCCACACTCTTGACCACCTAACAATACTGTCTTTCACCAAGAAGAACTGGAGCATGCTGTAGTACAGAAAGAAATGATGGACTGAGAAGTCATCATATGGGCCTACATCTGCAATGGAGGGTGGGAGAACAGTGGGCTTTAATGCACACTGAAAATGGATGCCTAATGCCTGCATACACTTATCAGAAGCCTCTTGTTGGCTTCTTGGCAACCTCTCAGCTGCTGAGCAGAGAAGAAGAAAGTGGCTCCTGGCAGATGGTGGCCAAGATGAGAATACAAGTGAAGTAACTCCTGGACTTCCCAGAACAATTAGGGAGAGATTCAAAGGTAACTGAAATTCTTGTAGGGGAAACTGGGGGCAAACTAAAGCAAATTCTGTTTGGTTACTGTTTTTAACTCCAGGCTGGGTAGGCCTAGGGAAGCAGGATATGCAACGAACCCCACAAATCAGGATTTTGCTTATGATAAAACAAGGCAAATGGCCCCCTGCTTTCATCTTTTGATGCTCTTTAATTTTAGCTAGTGACTTCTGAAAGAATAAAAACAACTCTGAACTGCTCTATTTTCTTCCCTCCAAGCTTGCTTGGAACAGGACACGTTTCTGCTTTTTTCTCCCTAACTTCATTTATTATTCAAAAACTATTGCTAAGTATAGGCCTTTTACCCAATCAAAAAGTTCTAGATCCTCTATCCTATTGGGCCGCCCACTCTGTCTAAGAGACAGTGAGCAAGGTACTGGGGTATTCCAAGATGACTAAGCCACGGTTCCCTGCTCTGACTCACTTTCATTCTTACGGAGGGAGAGAGATCAGTGTATCACTAACCACACACAAGACAAAATAAGACAGATCTACACGGAGGCAAAGTAACAAAATGCACAGGGTGCTTTAGGCAACAAGTGGCATTCTTGCATGGGGGCTTTGCCTGTCTTCTGGCGTATGTTTTGGTAGGTGTTATTTCACACTATTCTTCCCGGCCTTCCCACTCTGCTCCTGCAGTGATGTCATACTCCCTGGGCTGTCTCTACAGTCACTTTCTTTTTCCCTTTCTAAGTAAATCCTGTCTCAGACACCCACTGAAATCTCTAAGATCCTTCTCAGAACCACCTTCAAATCAAGCTACTAACAGCATGTTCTTGCCAACCATTACTCTCTAAGTCCATCTGTCTTCCTGTCTGCTCAGACGAGTCAAAAAGTATTTCTAGATCTTTAACAATCTTTAAGCCACATGGGGAAAATGCATTTAAACTCGCTAATAAGACCACAGACTAAGGGCAAAGCACTAAGATCGAATTTTATGTACCCAATTACTGCCTTAGATGTCAACCATTCAACAGGGGGTTCTTAATAAGCTATGTAAAAGAGAGTCTTTGAAATGGTTTGGCCTTTTCTCTTTCCTTTATTAGCTAGAGTCTATCCTACTCCACCGAATGAGCAGCTATAAAATGCAGAAGAGAGCAGCGGCAACAAGGAAAAGGCTTCATGATAGCAGGGGCTGGTCTGTGTTACTCACTGCTGTATATACACTGCTTAACGCATAGTGCTACTAAATATTTGCTGAAAGACAGGAGAAAGACAGATTGAATTACACACTGGACTTGACTTGTACCGGATGAACTCTGAGGTGCCTTCTCACTGAGATTTTGTGACCTAGTAAGAGTGAGAACTTAAGTTTGAAAACAATTTACATTAAACTCATCAAATTGTATTGTTTCCTAACCCATGTTCTCAGTATAACAAATTGCTAAACAGTGTTAAGGCCAATATTGGGATCAAATAAGGGAGAATAGAATCCAGGCAATGGAAAGAATTTCAAAAGACCATTTATTTTATCCCCAGTTGGCAACTAAACCATCCCAAAAAAGGATGTAGAATGATCTAATGGGAAGAGTGCAGGCTCTGGAGTCAAAGCTGGGTTTGAATTCCTATTCTGCCACTCACTAGTTGCATGACTTTGGACAAGTTAATATCTTTGAGTCTCTGTTTTCTCTTTTATAAAATACAGGCCATAAGAAAATATCTTGGGGTGTTTGTGTGCCTTGCACAGGCTGCCATAGAGGGACCTCAGAAATGGGTCGGTTCCGTTTCTCCAGAAAGCTGTATGCACATAGTGAAATATTTTTTAAAGTTGTGTCTCAGCTTCCTTTAGGTATCAGCATCTTTCAAATTTCCTGAGCCTTATAATTTTACAAATTCTGGAATTCTGCTGAAATAAAAGGCCTTTTACTTTTTGTTTTTAATGTTTTACTTACTATTTGTTGGACTATCAGTTGAAAAATATCACTGCTTCTGAATCCTCATTTGTACAATAACCCTTCACAAATTTCAAGATCATTATCAAGTCCCTTGTGTGCCTGTTGTTTCCCAGCCCTCACTTTGCTTCATTTTTGAGAGGTTTTAAAGAAAAGAATTCTTTTAAACACTTAGTGTATCATTAGGTCTTAACCTGCTTGAAGACAGGCCCTTGTTTTCACTCTGGCGAAGCAGAACCTAAAACATTAATAGGAATTCTAACTATGGAAGATACATATCAAAGCCAGAGGAAAACAAAGTATTATCTCCTTCTACTAAATGAAGGTTAAACTCCTTCCAAAGACTAAGTTTAAAATAGTTGTTATGCAGCCAGTCAGCATGCAAGGTGACTGGAGATAGAGGAATCTTGGCCCCAGACGGGAAGTGTTTAAAAATGGACAGAGGGTTCTGGGGTAAACTCCTCCAGACCAGAGACTGAGTCTTAATCCACAGCGATTCCCTGGGACCAGACTCATGTCTGGCACCCTTTATTGGCTAGAAATCTCTGTTAAGCAGAATTGAAATAGTTGTTATGTCTAGAAACATAATAAGACTATACAAGAGTACTTTTATGTAGAAAACCAGAAAATATAAAAGTTAAAACCTAATGATATTGATATTATAATTCTTTTAAAAGTGATACAACAAGAATATTAACTTTTTAAAGAATATCACTATATATTTTTTAACTATTGAAAAAGTATTTCAAGCCTCATTAGTTCTGGGTCATAAACCACTGTCTCTTTCCTGGCTCTGATTACAAATAATCAGAAGGTTTATAAAAAAATTTCATTTGTCTACATGGAATAGATTCATTCTGATACATTTGGCCTTCAGTAGACAGGGCCATTCTACAGCATTCATCCTAAGCTACCATTTTCTTTGATGGCTGACATTCATATGTATACATGTAGCAAGGCACCAGTTTCATAAATGTATGAAAGAAACCTACTTATAGCATGCAATAATCCAAAAACTTCAAATTCTTCTGCCTTGCAACTCTGTAAGAATAATAAACTCCCTTGTGGGGTTGTGGTTCAGTGTGAGATAATGAATATAAGTCACTTAACACTTATCTGGCACATAGAAGATAGTAGACACTAAATTAATGTAATTAGTGATTATAGAAGCAATAGTAATAATGAGAACAGATTTAGCTGTCAGGCAGACCTGAATTCAAATCCCAGCTTAGCCACTTTACAGCTGTATAACTTTGGGCAAGGCTTTTAAATCTAAATCTCAGCTTTTCCATTTTAAAATTTGGACATGTTAGCACCTACCTCAAAGCATTTTTGAGAGGACTGAATGAGATAATCCACTGTAAAAACTTAGTAAAATGAATGTTGCTTGGTATGTACTCAATAAATGTCATTATTGTCATATCATTATTAATAATATTAATTAGTTTTGCCTGTAGTTTACTCCATAGGAAAATGTCGAATGAATTAGATCTCAAGAAAAAGCAGTCAGTAAAACAGTCCCAAACATTCTGCCTTGGAATATTTCACTAAAGGCAAAATTAATTAATTAATGGTAGTATGAATGATAATTCTTATCCAATTATGATGTATTTGGTGATTCAATTTGAGATTCAAATGAATCTCAAGCCTTGAATGGAAAGAAGTTGCTGATTTAGTATAGTAATTGTAAACAGAGGTAGGTGTGTATACATTGGGGACCACTTGGAGCTTTCTCAAGATAATATTCCTCTGTTTCCTAAAACCGAGACATCCTAGACAGGAAGTGTAAGTAGGCATAAGAGTTTGATAAATACCCACTTTTGGTCTATGATATGTTCTCCCTTCCATTCTGAGAATCATTCATTTATTTGTAAGATTAATAATTAAAATGTATTGGTAAGGATTTGGGCTAAGTATAAAATGTTTGAAAAGAAATAGACCAAAAACAAAACATTAAAAGGATTTTGAAGGCTATTTATCTACCCTTCCATTTTAAAGATGAGGACACTGAGATAAAGATTGCCTTGGCATACAGCTCAGTAGCTATGGGACTCAGGCTGGGCTTAATTCCTTCTTTACTACACTACTCTGTTACAACTCTGCAAAAAATAAAGATAATGGACTCATTGACCAAGCCAGAGTTTGTATCAGCTAGGGAAATTAGAATATTTTGCTGTAATTCACTGGTGGATCCTTTGATCTATGAAAATCCTATCATGTTTTACTTGACTACTGTTCAACTTTGGTATGTAATATGTTATAACCATGTATTGTTTTGTTAATTGAATGTGGGGAAAATTAGTTTAATTATTGAATGAACCATTGTGCCCTGTGGCCCCATGAAACCTCAGCTAACCCATGCATCTGCTTTTCTTCCCCTAACTATAATTCATTTGTATAGCCAATGATGGGACTTGGCTCCACAGCCCTCAAAACTTGGGGTTTTCCCATTGTGTATTTATTTTATTTTTGGGGCCCTCAGATATTTCAAATCATTAACA
The DNA here is from genome assembly GCF_000001405.40 of Homo sapiens. Taxonomy (NCBI): domain Eukaryota; kingdom Metazoa; phylum Chordata; class Mammalia; order Primates; family Hominidae; genus Homo; species Homo sapiens. Next base: position 67,824,275 of record NC_000012.12, on the reverse strand, counting down.
TCATCCTTCAGAGACTGAGAATTGATTATTACAGAACATTAATAACATATTAAGGTCTCAGGCTTCACTTTCTCCTAGGGTTGTAAAAGGCTACTGTTTAATTACAATGAGTTTCATCCTCAAAAAAATGTCCCCTTGTGATAGATATCTACAACAGCCTCAGAACGCGCATTGTCTCGTGTTTAAATATATCCCCCCAAAGCATGCCATTCTCTTATCCAAGAGTTCTAAGAAATATTTCATAGCATCTCAATGGCACTGATTTGGTCACAAGTCTGCCTCTAAACAAATCACTACAGACAGGGAAATATGAGACCTTGTGTGGCCACACATGACTTAGATACCATCCCTAGGCCAGGGTTGATGACAGCTACACTGTGTGTGTATATATATATATACACACATATATTTGTATATACATTTGTATATACATTTGTATATGTGTATATATGTATATACAAATATATGTATATATGTATACATATATGTATATATATACACAAATACTATTATACACTATTATATATATTATATATACACTATATATTATATATACACTCTATATTATATATAATATGCTATATATATTTTTAATATATATATATAAAATAGATTTCCTGGTGTATAGTGTGTGTATATATAGTGAGAGTGGCAAGTGGTGGATCCCCATTGAACAACTGGGAATTGGGAATGAATTAGATTTTGATAAGCCAAAAACTAATGAATATCCACTATTCTAGGGAAGGTCACTGAGCCTTGAGTTGTCAGGATGACAAGACTAGAAATCTTTAGTTAGGAAAGATGAAGGCTGAGAGAGCACCTAATGGAAGTCTTTAAAACTGTACACAATTTTGTATGAATGAAAGTCAAATCCTTAGATATTAAAATGAGAATACCACCTTTAAAATTCTGAAAGGTATTTTAGCAGTGAGAATTGCTATTTCATGTAAAAAGCAATATTTTTGTAGAATTCTCTACCATCAAGAGGCTATACCTCTAAAAAATATAATTAATTCAAAAGATTCAGGAGAAATAAAGCCTAAATTAATAATGAAGAAAAGGAATAAAACACCTAAAATGCATGTTTAAGTTCAGAACATCCAAGACTCTCATGACCCCCTCTGAAAACAAAGTTAAATGACCCTCTTGAGCAATCCATGTACTCTCCTGGATAGTCCCCCAACCTCATTAACCTAGTTCAACTCAGCAAGCATGATGGAAACATTTTTACATGCAGTTTTAAATCCCTGAAAGAGTTTTAGGGATTAAGCAAAGCAGAGACATGCAACCAGTCTATAAAGAAAAAGCGCTTTCTATTGTATCATTTCTACAGCCAACAGACAGAAGAAAATGCAGCTGTAATCTGCATAAGAGAATCAAGAGGGTAACACAAACATGTTTTAAAATTCAAGGATCCAAAAACAAATCAAATAATTGTGTATTAGAGCTAAACAATTATATTCAGATTTTTTATTTTCTATTTTTAAAATTTTTCCAATTTATAACTGATAGTTAATATAATTGTTCTTCAATTATATTACCATTTACATTAGAAGACATAAAATATTATAGAATATTCATAGCCTTATAACTGACTATTGGATAAGTAAAGAACTTCAGCTTCCTTTTCATGTGGCTCTCCTGAAATGAAGGTCTGATAAAGTTTCTGATTCATTCATTGTAATTTATTTCATCAAAAAAGCTAGAAATCCTTAAGAATGTAAATGCGTCCTTTGAGCAGGCTTTCATTCTCCTTTATTTTTTCTTGGGGTATTGTGCTTTCCTGGTAATTGGGCCACTGAGGAATGATGAAAAGAATGATCTATTTCAACATTTGTGGCTCATTATAGGCACTGAGGGACAAAGTTGAAATAAAAGGTCATAATGAGATTGAATTGTTCTTCAAGCTTGTCATAGATAGGAATAGAGGCATACCTTGGGAAAAAAAATTGTATAGAAATAGAACTTTTTAAGTTACGCAAAATGCATTGAGAATGTGCATTTAAGGCAAATAAATGTTTTCAGGGATATCAAGTGTGGTTCCAAACTGTGGAAGGTAATTTGAAATAAAATCCTTTTTAAAAAATGTAGACATTACATTTGTAGAAATTTGGGATCCATGAACCCAGGATCCTTCTTTTTCTTAATGGATGTGGCGTCAGTGTGGGAGAAGGTGCTTGATTTTTTTTTTCTGTGCTCATTAACAGTGATCAAACGTATAACAACATGAGTAAAGCCATACACATACTTGCTCATTCATTAAACAGCTATTCATTGGGCTCATTCTGTGTGCTGGAAATACAGCATTGGGTGATATAAAGTCTTTGCCAAGTGGGGAGTCTAGTAGGAAGACAGAAATTAAATTTAAAATATTAAATTAGGATTGTAATAAGTGACACAAAGGATAAGCAAGAGTGTGATTGAAATGTCCAACTAGGATACCAAACGGGTGAAAGGAGTGACACTGGATTGCATCTTGAAGGGAGAGTGAAATTGATGGGTGGGGCGAGTGAGGGGCAGGACTAACGGCAGGAAGGGACAGCAGTGATATTCTAAGCAGAGGGAACTATGTTGCTGAAGGTCCTAGGTGGAGTGGGATTGAGGAATGGAAGTGGAGAGGGAAGCAGAGGCAGAACACTACTCCTTGAAGCATAATAATCTGAAGCTTTATAAACCAAGAACAACGCACATTAGTGGGAGAGCTTTTAAAATGCATGCCACTGCATTTCATTTTGAAAGTTATCCTTTTCCACAGTTAGAGGAATCAACTGGAGAGGTATAATCACAGGTACATGGAGACTATTTGGGTGCTCATTGCTATGGTCCGAAACCAGATGGTGGTGGCTTGGCCCACTAGGGATGGCAAAGTTAATGGACAGCAATAGAAGGATTTGGAAGATATTTAGGAGGCAGAGTCAAGAATACAATGGATAGAGTGAGGTAGAGTGAGGTGAAAGTGACCCCCATGTTTCTAGACAGGATGGATAGAGGGGAGGGGATCCCCAACATAGGGCACATCAAAAGCAAAGGATGTCTTTTAAAGACTGAATTCTGGAAATGTTGTTAGTCTCATATCCAAGCAGAGATAAGGAGTTGACATGTGGGTCTGGAATACAGAGGAAAAGTCTAAACTAGATAGATTTGCAAGTTTATTTAACAAACTGACTTGGAAACACTCACTTTTACCAGTCACTGTCTAAGCACTTTATCAATACTAAATCATTTAATCTTCCTAACAACCCTCTGAGGCAAGTACAGTTGTTAGACTTACTTACCTACAAGAAAGCTGAGGCCCAGAATTCTTAAAATCACCCGGGTAGGAGTACAGAGCCAGGATTCAAACCCGGAGAGTCTGGCTCCAGAGTCCACATGCTGAACCGCTAGGCTTCTAGACAGTACGCAGGAATCGAATGGGTGTGGGCGAGTAAGAGAGATGTAGAATAACAGGAGGAGAGAACAGAGGCTTGAGGAGGTCAAACTTTTAAATCAGCAGAGGAGAGTAAATTGGTAAAGTGGCCATATCACTTCCACAAATCCATAAGACCCATTTGTCCCAAAATGTTTGTCCGGCAAGGCCTCACCCTTTCAAGGCAGCTGAGCCCACTGAGGAGTCGCATGATCATTCATCTCTATTAGTCTGGACACCCTCACAACCAGACACAAAGTCTCAGAGATTTATCCTGTTTGAAAAGCCGGGACAGATCTACCACACCGCTTTCCAGGTTCTGAACAACTGTTTCTCCAAGGCTAACTCTTTTGCCAATAACTTGACTTGTATTATTTTTAGTGAAATATCATGTAACAAGCTGCTCCTAAAATATTTCCAGCTCAGAGTGCTGGAAGAAAAAGATCAAAAAAGAAGAAGGCTGGAAGCTGAGAGTGACAGTGGAAAAAGAAAAGGAATAATGGAAAAGGAAGGCAAAACAAAACAAAATAAAAACAAAAATTGTTGAAAGAAAATATGATCTTTTAAATTGAGAAGGGTGAAAAGTTATTAACACGTCCCAGTCAATTTTAATTTCAAGGAATGCACACCCAGCCATGCCTGCAACTTTTCTAATTAAGCAGTTACCCAGTTCATTTTCAGTGATGTTCGTTTGCTCTCACTCATTGTGGACTTTCACAGTAACCCCTGGCATCAGAAAGCAGTGTGGTGTAATGATTACAGGTACAGGCTCTGGAATCAGTGCCATGTGTGTGTGAGTCCTGACTGCATTATGTGTTAATTGTGTGATTTCAGGAAGTTACTTATCTACTCTGTCTGTTTCCTCAACTGTAAAATGTGGATGATGATATCTATTAATAAATTCTACTTCATATTGTTCATATGAAGAAGAAATATTTGAAATAGTATTTGACTTAGTATAATATATACCACTCAAAAAATTTTTGTTAAACTTCTTTTTTTTTTTTTTTTTTCTGAGATGGAGTCTCGCTCTGTGGCCCAGGCTGGAGTACAGCGGTGCAATCTCGGCTCACTGCAATCTTCACCTCCCGGGTTCAAGAGATTCTCCCACCTCAACCTCCCAAGTAGCTGGGATTACAGGCGCTCGCCACCACACCTGGCTAATTTTTGTATTCGTAGTAGAGACTGGGTTTCACCATGTTGGCCAGGCTGGTTTTGAACTCCTGACCTCAGGTGATCCACCCACCTCAGCCTCCCAAAGGTCTGGGATTACAGGCGTGAGCCACCACGCCCGGCTGCCTTTGTTAAACTTCTTATTGTTATTATTAGAAGTGCTGGTGCTCTTCAGGTGTTTTTAGCAACATACCGTGATGCATTCTAGAGCACCAAGGTGCCATATTAAGAGTCATTTGTGTTTACCAGCCATTAAAGGAGGGTTTTTGATGTTTAATTAGAGTATTACCAACTGAATTACTCTCAATTATTGTTTGTATCAGCATTCCATCAGAGAAGCAGAAACTGTGTGTGTGTGTGTGTGTGTGTGTGTGTGTGTGTGTGTGTGTGTGTGTTGAAAAGGAGCAATTGGTCCCAAGTACTTGACTTTATGCGATTGTGGGATCTGGCTCAACAGTCTCTGCAAGGCTGTTGCTTTTCCATCTGACACTGGATCTTGAAGCCACAGAACGGGCTGGCAGGAAGGGGAGATGGATGGAAAGTTAGGAGAGCAAGGATAGACTGGAACCCACAGTAGAAGCTTGAACCCAAAAGGGCAGCCTGAGACCTACATCATCTCGTTTCCTCTGACCTGTATGATATGGCTGTCCTGCAGAAGTGGTGGCCTTTCATCATGGAACAAAACACACACAAATGGCCCAGGAGTCAGGCAAGCTGCAGAAATCTCCAGGAAATGGTGGTCAGTTATAGGCCCATCAGCTGCCTTGTGCCAGCAGGGTGAGCTAGCAAATGGATGGCAATGAATGCGAACTACAGATGACTGCTGCCTCACTCTGCCTGATATGCCACTCAAATCTCTCTGTGGCCTGACCCCACTGGAAGTGTGCAGGAAAGGGAATTCTGGGAAATGTATTTCAGTTGAGGTGATTGTTGACACATTGCAAAGCCACCAAATAGTTATTGCCACAGATATTTAAACTGGCTGAACACTATGCCAACTGCTTTTCATTACTTATTTCATCTGTTTTAGCCACAGCCCCACAAGCCTATCCATTTGTCATAGGTGAAGAAACTGAGGAAAAGAACCCTGTCTTGAATAACTTGGCCAAGGTCAGATTTATGAGATTTATTTATAAACGATGACACTTGCAGCAAGCTTTTTGAGTTAGTGTCTGCATTAACTAGATTTATCTATCATTGGACTTCCTCTCCAAAACAGCATAGCTAGTTATTGCAACAGACAATTATCTCACAGTTTCCATCCCTACTCTTGTTAAAAATAATAGGGCAAGATAGGCCCAAGGCACTGATGTACCAAATGACAATGTTATACTCTTAGAATCTTGTGAAAATGAAGTAACTTTTCAGGTACTGCTTAAATATAAATATTCTCTTAAAATTAAATAAATATCAATGCCTAATAGAATTATTCCTTAGGCTCAATTAATTTCATTTCAAAAGCTATAACTTAGTTATATTCTAGTTGTAAGTCATAGCTAGTATACCATTATCTTATATGTGGGTATGTAATTTGTATCAATTTGCATTAAATTTAATAAGAATTTAAATGTGAATCATCATTGTCACTTAGCTTACAGTAATCAATATCTGTGAAACTGAGATCCCTGCAGATAGTCATGGGATGCCTCCCACACAGACAAAATTCCAATTTACTAGTTAAAAGATGGTTATAAAGAAAATATGGGGTAATTGCTGTGTAAGATATTGATCTGTATGCAGATAATAGCTATAAACTCTGGACATAATGTAAAAAGTAGCTAGCTGAAGTCACTAGAGAGTGAAGTGATACAAGCAAATTCTTATAAGTAGTTCATCCTCCTGGGAAAGGAGCTGATAGAGTGAGTTTCTATGTTTGTCCTTTTAGCCTGGGATAAGGTGCAGTCAGTGGGGATTGAGTAACACTGGGACACTGGTGGGGGAAAAACTGCAGTCTTTTTGTCCCAGGGACCCAGAAGACTTAATCTGAGGAGACCACAGTCACTACAGAGGAATAGCCTGTAAGGAAAAGGATCAGAGAGAAGATCTCCAAATTCTATCTGCTTTTATTTTCAATAACTCTTGAACCACATGTGTCAAGTAGGCTCAAAATAGCTCTGCTAAAGACAAAAGATATGAACTGCATTTGGAGATGCTACATAAGAAATTGAGTTTTCATTTCAAACCAAGTAAAATTGCTTGCTAAAACTAGCTAACAGTTATCAGAGAAAAGCATCAGAATCCAAGTTCCACAACTTAACATTCATAATACTCTGGGTACATCAACATTACTTGACAATAAAGAACATGGAAAATGGGACATACTCGTAAGAAAAAATTAAATAAATCTAACTATCAAATAATCCAAATATTGGACTGATCAGACAAGGATTTTAAAGCCATTATTATGACCCTGCAATAAAGTAAAAAAAAAATGCTTATAATGAGTGAAAGGTAGGAAACTTCAGCAGGTAAATTGAGCAAGTAAAAAGAAAACAAATATAAATTCTAAAATTGAAAATATAACTGAAATTTTAAAACTGTCAGATAGATTTAAGAGTGTGAGAGGCCAGAATATGTCACCCCAAAATATACCTCTTTGGCATAGTGACTGTTGCACTGATGGCAATTAAAAAGAAGCAGATGCAGGAAAACTCTTGTGTTTACCCCTCATTTGCCTAAAAGCTGAACACAAATTAATAAAACCAAAAGATATCCCACCTCCTTTCTCTGCCAGGGAGAACAAAAGTTAACTTTAGACCCTTGTAGACCTGGAGATAACACCAAAGAAATCTATATTTATATAATTTATATGCCTTCTCACAATTTAATGGCCCTAGAGATTCAAAACTCTTTTCATTTTCTTGTCATTCCTCTAAAAATTTACTCTTCTTTGTTGACGATGCTATATAAGCTGAAATTCAAAGCCACCTCTTTGAGAATTACTCATTCTCTGGGTATCTCTCATGTATATATGAAATATCCATGTTAATAAACTTCCGTTTTTCTGTTGTTAAAGTGTCTTTTTTTACAGAAGTCTGTAACTGAAAATTTATGAGGGTCGAGAAAAAAATATATATTTTTCTTCCCCTACAAAAACAAAGTAGCAATGACAGAGAAAAGGGCAAGTGAACATGAGGATAGACCAATAAAATTATTTAAAGTGAATATCAGAGAAAAAAATAAGAAAATGAACAGAACCTCAAGGATCTTGTAGATTATATAAAATAGTCCAACATACGTATAATTGGAATTCCACAAGGAAAGAGGAGAGAGAATTGGGCAAGGAAAAAAAATGTAAAAAATAACAATCAAAATTTTCCAAATTTTATGAAGCATAAGAATATTAAATATGATCAAGAAACACTAAGCAGGACAAACATAAAGAAGGCTTTGCTTGGGAACATCATAAACTTTTGAAAGCTGAATATAAAGAGCAAAACTTGAGAAAATGAGAAAATGATAGATTACATATAAGGGAACAATCATTTAATTTGCAAATTGCTTCTCATCACAAATTATGGAGACCAGAAAAGAGTGTAAAAACATTTTTTAAGTGCCAAAAGAAAAACAAAAAACAAAAAATTGTCAACCTAGAATTCTGTATCTAGTGAAAAAAATTCTTCAAGAATGAAGGTGAAATAAAGATTCTCACATAAAGGAAAACTAAAAGAATGTATCATCAATAGGCCTGCACTTAAAGAAAATGCCAAAAGAAGTTATTTAGTGGAAGGGAAATAATTCCAAATGGACACAGAAATCCTCAAAAAAAGAGTATCAGAAATGAAAATATTTGGGTAAATTCAAAGACTATAATTTTTTAAATCCCCTTAATTTCTTTACCATACATATGAGTATGTAAGAGTTTAAAGGGTAGTCCACAAGACCACCCTCACTTCTGATACCAACTAGAAGTCTGAGGTCTCCAAGACCACCCTCAGATTCAAAAATTCTCTAGAAAGACTCACAGAACTCACTGAAAGCAGCTATACTCATGGTTATGGTTTATTACAGATTACAATCAGCTGAGGAAAGAGACAGAGACACATGGGTAGAGTCCAAGAGAATTCCATGGATGGAGCTTCCAGTTGTCCTTTCTCAGTGTTCATGGAAATGATGTATAACAAGATATATAGAGTAGTGCCAAGTGGGGAAACTCACCTGAATCTTGTTCAAGATTTTATCATGGCTGTGTCACATAGACATGATGGACCATCCACACGGCTGATCTTAGTTTCCAGCCCCTCCAGTAGTTGAGCTGATACCATAGGACCCAAAATTTCCACTATACATTACATTGCTATATTTGATGTGGCTTAAAGCCCTCAGGTAAACAGACACTCTTATGAGGCAGGACATTCCAAGGGCTTCAAGATTACCTTCCAGAAGTCAAGGGCACAGGGCAGACCTCCCTTTGAGCAAGATTAATTCTTTACCACACAGTGTTTAATGACAAAATTATAACAGTGTCTTGTGACAATGTTGATAATACATTGTTGAGAGTGAATAATGACAATGTTGATAATGAAGGTAGATGTAGCATAAAGGATGAGGACAGGGTATGTATCTATAGGCTGGCAGGATTCTATATTTTATGTGAAATGCTGTAATATTAATTGTTATTTGGTCTGTGAAAATATTAAGATACATATTTTATCCATAGAACAGCCGAAAAGGCAAAGTATACCTAAAAAGCCAATGGGAACATTTTTAAAGTTTCTAAACATATTCAAATAATTTAAAAATACAGATAAAGAGTACTAATAGAATTTTAAAAGAGGAAATAAATATAAAATAAAGAATAAATGTTTTTATTGGTTGGGTGGGTAAAAACCACACCCAACCATTACTAGACCTAATATACCCAGTGAAATGCAGATGTTATCAGAATGTGAGGAAAAAAAACAAGACTCCAGTGTAGGCTGTTTTTAAGAGATACACTTTAAATATAAAGACAAAGTTTGAATGTAACTAGATGGAAAAACTATAGCATGCAAACAGTATAGATAAGAAGGATGGAAAGCCCATAATGGGATGGCTAGTATTAAAAAAAGCAGAGGCCAGGCATGGTAGCTCTTTACACCCATTAGGATGGCTGGTATAAAAAAAAGCAGAGGCCAGGCACAGTGGCTTATGCCTGTAATCCCAGCACTTTGAGAGGCAAGGCAAGTGGATTACTTGAGGTCAGGAGTTCAAGACCAGCCTGGCCAACATGGTGAAACCCCATCTCTACTAAAATACAAAACTTAGCCAGGCATGGTGGTGGGTGCCTGTAATCCCAGCTACTCAGGAGGCTGAGGTAGGAGACTTGCTTGGACCCAGGAGGTGGAGGTTGTAGTGAGCCAGGATTGTGCCACTGCACTCCAGCCTGGGCTACAGAGCAAGACTCAGTCTCAAAAAATAAAATAAAAATAAAATAAAATAAAAACTTTTAAAAAGGCAGAAAATACGTGTTGGTGAGGATGTGGAAAAACTGGAGCCCTTGTGCACCATCAGTAGGTGATATGGTTTGGGTTGTCCCCACCCAAATCTCACCTTGAATTGTAATAATTTCCACGTGTCAAGGGTGGGACCAGGTGGAGAAAATTGAATCATGGGGGTGGTTTCTCCCACAGTGTTCTCATTATAGTGAGTTCTCACGAGATCTGATGGTTTTATAAGGGGTTACCCCCTTTGTTCAGCACTCGTTCTCTCTCCTGCTACTTTGTGAAGAGGAGCCTTCCACCATGATTGTAAGTTTCCTGAGGCCTCTCCAGCCATGGGGAAATGTGAGTCAATTAAACCTCTTTTCTTTATAAGTTACCCAGTCTCGGGTATTTCTTCATAGCAGCATGAGAATGAACTAATACAGTAGGAATGTAAAATGGTGCAACTGTTATGGAAAACAGTACAGCAGTTCCTAAAAAAATTAAAAATAGAGTTACTATATGATCCAGCAATACTCATACTTCTAGGTGTATCACCAAAACAATTGAAAACAGAGTCTTGAAGAGATATTTATACATTCATATTCATAGCATTATTCATAACGGCCAAAAGGTGGAGGCCATCCAAATGCCCATTCACAGATGAATGGATAAACAAAATGCAGTATATACATACAACGAAATATTATCCGGCCTTTAAAAGAAAGGAAATGCTGACACATGCTACAAAATGAATGGAACTTGAAGACATTATGCTAAGTGAAATAATCCACTCCCAAAAGACAGCCAAATACTGTACAATTTCATTTACATGAGGTATCTAGTGCAGTCAAACTGATAGAAACAGAAGTAGAATGGTGGATGCCAGGGACTGGCAGGAGGGGGAAATGAGGAGGTGTTGTTTAATGGGTATAGTTTCAGTTTTGAAAGATGAAAAAGTTATAGATGTTGGTTATAAAACAATGTGAATATACTTAACTGTACACTTAAGAGTAGTTAAGATAATAAATTTTATGTGTATTTTACCACAATTAAAATTTTTTAAAAGGATGGAGTAGTTTTATTAACAGCAGATGAAATAGATTTTGTATTTTACAATTCCTTTATAAAAAGTTAGATGGACATTTCATACTGATAAAAGACAAAGCATCTGGAAAACCTAGCAATCACCAATGCATATGTGCCTAATAAAAAACTTCAAAATACAAGAAGCAAAAATTGACAGAGTTAAACAGAAAAATAGATAATACCACAATTATAGTTGAAGATTTTTATATCTCCCCCATGGCAATTAATAGAACACTCAAACAAAAATCAGAGAAGTTCTGAACAATACTTTCAGCAGTCTTGACCTAATTATTATACATAGAACACTATACCAAACAAGTGCAAAATTGCAAAATAAACTTTTTTCAAGAGTGCATGGTGAGTTCTTGAGGGTAGACTATATTCTGAGCCATAAAATAAGTCTCAATTGAAATCATAGGGAGTATGTTCTCTGAAGAAACTGCAACTAAATTAGAAATTAGTTGAATGTGTAAGAAAATTTTAAATATGTAAAAATTAAACAATACACTTCTAAATAATCTGTAAGTCAAAGAATAAACCACGAGGAAAATATTTTGAACTGAATGACAATGAAAAGACAACATAGTAAAATTTGTGGGAGGCAGCTACAACTGTGTTTAAGGGGAAATTAGAGCTTTTAATACTTATGAAAAATAAATATAGGACATACAGTCATGCACTGCATAACGATGTTTTGGCTAATGATGAACTGCGTATATGCCAGTAGTCCCATAAGATTATAATGAAGCTGAAAAATTGCTATCGCCTACATGTCTTGATGATCCTGACCTCGTATAGACCTAGGCTAATGTGTGTGTGTTTGTGACTTAGTTTTTAACCAAAAAGATTTTTTAAAGTTTATAAAGTAAAAAAGCTACATACAATAGCTAAAATTATTATTGAAAAAGAAAAGAGTTTTTAAAATAAATTTAGTGTAGCCTAAATGTGCAGTGTTTATAAAGTCTGCAGTAGTGTACAGTAATGCTGTAGGTCTTCACATTTACTCACCACCCACTCATTGACTCACCCAGAGCAATTTCCAGGTCTGTAAGCTCCATTCATGGTAACTGCCCTGTATAGGTGTGCAATTTTTATCTTTTAGACTGTAATTTCTTCACTGTGCCCTTTCTATATTTAGATACACAAATACTTACCATTGTATTACAATCACCTACCGTATTCAGTACAGTAACATGCTGTATGGGTTTGTAGCCTAGGAGCAATAGGCTATAACATATAATCTGGGTGTGTAGTAGGCTATACCATCTAGCTTTGTGTAAGTGCACTCTGTGATGTTCACACAATGAAGAAATGACATTTCCCAGCCTTACTTACTTTATCTTTCACAGGTATTTTCCCCAGTAAATCATTACTTGCAGTTTGTTGGGCCATTTGATGGGTTATAGTGAATGGAATATATAGAGAAATAATATAAGCCACTTTACAGCATGGCTGAGAAAGAAATTTCCATATGTAATCCTCCATTCTCATTGTCTTTCTCCTGTCTGGTGTTGGGTAATGCTAGGGTGACTAAAATCTCAATATAATGGAGCCACAAGATGGGAGTAGCCTGGATCATGAGTCACTGCTTGGAAGAGAGCTACTGCAGAGTCATCCAGTTAGAAACATCTACACTGGGTGTTAAGTAGCTAAGATTTGGAGGTTGCTTTTTATAGGAGCTTATGTCATGACTAAGGTAGTCAAATAAGAATTTTATTTGGACCCATATTATTCTTAAACAAGATTTTACAGACATCTGAAAATAAAGCTTTTAAGGCCTTAAGGTAGAATTTATGCCATTAAGTAGTGCTTAGTAAATATCATTATAACGTGTTCGCAAAAGAGTAACTGAAAGTTGCAAAGGAAGACATTTGAAAAAAGAACAGAAGACATGTACCAGGTCTCAGAGGAGACCTAGGATATAGTATGTGTGCAGTATCAGAGGTATACCTATGGAGTGGTTTTGAGCAAGTCTCTACTTTTCTCTTAGGGCCTGCATGTCTACATAGTCAGTGGAATTTTTGAACTCACTTGGATCTTTTAGTGAGCAGCTAAGGAGAAAACAAAGCTAAGACTGTAATTTAAGTGAATCCTGAGACTTCTGTAGATGGGAAAGCCAGAATCAATTATATGTAGCAGGGCAGGGGGATTCTCCTTGGAATACTGGGCACCTCTTCTCCCCATCAACATGCCATTTCTGATCTTTTTCTATTTTCAACTCCTGTTTTCCTCCATGAAAGCAGTCGTGTTTTGGCCATTAAAATCATGCTCTGTTTGTTGTTAAAGTAGCAGCCAAAGTGTAGCTCTATAGATATGGCTCCTAGCAAACAAAAAAACAGAGCAAACCAGTGAATGAATCTACTTATATTAGCAAAACAACCCAGGGCCAGCCATCTTAGGTATCATTACCCAAGGGATGACTTTCCTATGATACTGTAGAGGACATTTGATTCAACTCTATTTCATTTGATAGGGTCTTATGTATCATTACCCAAGGGATGACTTTCATATAATACTATAGAGGACATTTGTTTCAACTCTATTTCATTTGGTAGGATCTTAAAATAGAATGTGACAAAACAGGATAATGCAAAGCCAAAGTCGAATGGATATTAGAAATTACTGAGTCCGATCAGACCCATGGCTTGGTACCAATAGAGCCTCAAACAGAGGCATCACTCAATTCTCAAGAGTTTAACTGAAAAGGCAAATGCAGAGGACATCTCTTGGGGTGACCTTCCCATTGTCTGTGATTGTCTCTTATTGAGGAACAGCTCTGTGGCAGCCATGGAAATGTACTACTCACATCTCCTGCTATGAGGGATATCATTGATTGATGGCCCCAGCTGCTGCACTCTGAATCTACCACAATACTCATATCCAAGGCCATCTTTTCCCTGGGCTGCTCTTGGCCAATGACTGAGAATGGTAGGGATATTAAGGCAGGCTCATTCTAATGAGGTTGTAAGAATTTTCTGATAGGTGACTTTGGCTCAAGAATTTGAATTGGCTTGGCCAGAATTTCCTTAGTGCTGCAGTCTTAAGTTCTCAGGAAGCAATTCAAATCTGCTTCCTTTTCTCTCTCCCTCATAGGGGTGAGACTTGCATCATGGTATCTTCTGTTCCACTCTTTTATTTTTCATAGGTGTTTTATCCAGTAAATCATTTGCATGCCTAATGCCGTATTGGCATCTGCTTCTTAGAGGGCCCAAACTAATACCTGCTTACTTCTACAGGTGTGGTTCTAAGAATTGAGTCTGTGTTCTAGGATCCTGCCATAACTGCCATAAAAACAGACAACTGACCAAAATGGGACCATTGGATACTGAGTCCCAGGAATCTGAGGTGTGAACAACAGAGACACAAGTACTGGGGTCCATGGAGCTCAGTTATATTCAAGAGCTCCTTGAAGAAAAAGTCCATGGGCTTTGAATGTTGAGGTCCCTGAAGCTGCTTTCATACTTCTCCTCCTATAGTTTTGTTTTTAACTGTTCCTTTATATATTTGTGATTCTCCAGTTGCCTTCTGCTGAATTCCCCCTTTTTCTCCTTGTGTGTCAGCTAGCCAGAGTCAATTTCTGTTACTTACAACTGGGCAAATCTGATCTACTATAGTGAGGCATAGCCCAGAGTTTACCTACGTCTTTTGTGACCCTGCAAACTTTATCCAGATCCTTTCTTAATCCATTTATTTATCAGGCCTCTGGTGGCATCTCTGTGGTATTGAGTTTTGCCCTCTGCATGAAGTAGACTTTATTTTTAAATTGTGAAAAATCTTTATTTTTTGCAGGGTATGGAACATAAATCTAAAACTCCCGAAGTAAAGGTAAAAAGAAAACATGACTCACAAAAAGGACATTTTAATAGTTAGAAGTTATGAGAAAGGATTTGTCAAGCATCATTTGCTAAATCTCCCACATAAAAAGAAGGCACTCAGAAACTATAAAAGGAGAATCTTGTCCTACATTAGGCATCTAGTGAGGAAGGTCATAGAGTAAGATTACCTAAAGCAGTATATTAGTTTCTATCTGGATCTTAGAGAGCAGACTTTCCACATTGAATGTTGAATCACAAATCAAATAGAAAATGTCTTCAATATTAGAGGGGGAAAAAAACACAAATACTGCAAGGAGACACAAAATGAAGCAAAAGGAGAAGAAAATGTCTTAACAGTTTATCTTCATTGAAAACCCTTGGCCGGGCACGGTGGCTCACGCCTGTAATCCCAGGACTTTGGGAGGCCAAGACGGATGGATCACGAGGTCAGGAGATCGAGACCATCCTGGCTAACACGACGAAACCCCGTCTGTACTGAAAAATACAAAAAATTAGCCAGGCGTGATGGTGGGCGCCTGTAGTCCCAGCTACTCGGGAGGCTGAGGCAGGAGAATGGTGTGAACCCGGGAGGCGGAGCTTGCAGTGAGCCGAGATTGTGCCACTGCACTCCAGCCTGGGCAACAGAGTGAGACTCTGTCTCAAAAAAGAAAAAAAGAAAACCCTTTGCACCTGCCCACTGCTCTTTGCCAACTATGTTAGTGCATTTCTAAATGCCCCGAGGCACACACACACTTATGAAGACTGGACTTCTCAAAGTGCAAATGATAAAATAGTGCTACAGCATAGTACTTTTTTGTTGTTCAGTGGGAATCAGAATTGGGATTGGAACCCCAGAGTCAAGAAACTGAGAGATCCACATGAAAAACAAGTCACATGCCCCCTAAGAGTAGAGCTGCTGATATGCCACCAGTTTTATGAAAAAGGTTTGCATTTCTTCACTTTGTTTTCTGAATGATTCAGAAACAGATGGCAGAACTTTTAAGGATTGTTTTTAAATGCTTCAGAAATCCCTTTTTCTATAAGTGGAATACCAGCTCTTTGACTAAACGTAATGAGGAAAAAGTGAAAGAAGTAATAAGCATAATATACACAGAGACACAGACGCTTTATCAAATAAAAAGATGTGGTCTAGATTTTCAATCCAAAGAACTAGGCTAGAGGCTGAGAATCTATTCAGCCTCCAAAGTTCCCTCAGGAGTTTACAAATATGTTTTCAAACTCCAGACAAGCTCGTCGTCCCTGTGTCTGAGAGGCGCAGTCCAGATCTATACATCATTACAACACGAGGACGGAGCCCCAAAGCTGTCCTGAGTTGTACTGAAAGTTTTTCATTTGGCTTGGAAACAGAGAGAAGGACAGGTGATTAGTCATCATCTGCTTAATCTCCAATGACAGAAGTAAAGAGCAGTTTTATTTCTGGCTTGACTTCTGCCTTAATCTTTTCTAGAAGCAGAGGAAGGAGGACAATCATACTGTAGAACATTCCTTCCTGCAGACTCTCAGCAGAAACAAAAGCACATCTTTTTGTCAAGGGCCCAGTGACATATTTTCCTCTACAGAGGAGCTGGGGAGAGAACCCCTCTGGTCTATGTGTAGCTAGTATGTCAGCCCAGGACTCTACCATGACACCTAAAATTACATCGTATTGACAGATAACATCCAAATTATGAAGGCTCTGCTCCCCTCCTGCTTGATTATGGGAAGGCAAAACTTCTACGTGGTTCTCCTTCCAGTGAATTCTGGCAATCTCCAGAGAATGTTTCTGCGTTCTCCAAATTGAGCCTGGTTTACACTTACTCTGACAGTGATGACTTCTTTCTTTCTGGGTGCCTGCTTCTTCAACAGCTTGTCTCTTCCTGCCTCGTGGGATCCAGGGTCTCTCTCCAATATTCCAAAGACAAGCAATAATTTATAACCCATTTAAAGGGAAGTGTAAATCTAGATTGAGATTAAGCTTTATGTATACACAGTTAACAAATGAGCTAATGTTTAGGGTTCTTCTTATGAGCACCATGCTCTACATGATTTAATTTGTTTAGTACTTACTATGATTCTGTAAGTCATACATTCTTTCTAACACAAACTTACAGAAACAAACAGAAACAGAGAGAGGCTAAGGAAATTGTCAAAGTCACAATAGTTACTAAGAGGTGGAGCTGGGATGGAGTCCAGGCAGCCTGGTTTTAAAATCATGGCCTCTTCACGACTCTCTACCTCCTAATTAAATAAACAACTTGCAAAGGTACACGTTTGTCCACTGTTAAAATAACAGTCTGCATTACCTTTTTAAGCCTTTTGGCTCCTTGGTGCTCAAATTCCTCCATTCCAGAAAGAGTCTACTCTTCCTTTGGATATCTATAGAAACCCACAGGGATGGTCTGCCCCAAGGTTGAAGTCCCCAGCTCTTGTGAAATGTGAACTATTCTGCTCAGAATTCTGAAATTACTAGGTTGTGTTTTTATTGTCTTGCTCTTGCTTCATTTTGTTTGTTTTTCAGCTCTGCCCTCTCCATTTGAAGAACACTCTTCAAATGACTCTTCCCTGTTAAAAAAGAAGGCAACTGCCTCACCTGTATTCCAGTGAACTTGGTTTAAGTCTTTAAACCCCTTCTTGACCATTCTTCCTTGGCAGATAATGTTCAAAGTCAGCGTGTGCAGCCACTGATAATACACACACTTTCTTTAGCTTAGGTGGCCTCTCTCTTCTGGTTTTGTTCAGAGAGGTAGTCTTTGAACTCTGCAATTTTATCTTCTGTCCTGGATTCCACACTTGGTCTGTTCTGGCTATTTTCCCCACTCCAGCCATGCCCATTCCTTCAGATGGAAACAATATGGGAACGTTTCTCAAACATGGGTCTTGGGTTTTCACCTCTTCCTTGAATTCCTTTTCTATATACTCAACTGCCTTTAGGAAGTCTCTATTTGGACACCCCAAAGTCACTGCAAATGCAGCACCTCAGAGCATGGCATTAGCAGTTTCTCTGCCCAGACTGACCTTCCACTAGATACCTCAAAGATCTTTTTCTAGAGCCTTCCCTAACCATCCTCCTTAAATTAGTAGTGCCCCTCCCCCACACTTTGTCTGTATCTGTCCCCTGCACTAGAATGTAAGTTCTATCAGAGCAGACTCTTTTGTCTGTTCTGTTCGACGTTATATTCTCTGCATCTTGGGCACTTAATACATGTTAGAAGGGAGAGAAAAGGAAGCTAGGAAGAAAAGGGAAGAAAGGAAGGGAGGAAGGGAGCATCTATTGTAGTTGCATAGAACATAGCAAGTGCTCAAAAATGTGTGATGAATGAGTTTCTGTAAAGTGTGTCAGATTAAAAGGGAGGGAGGGAAGAGAGGGAAGAGAAGAGAAGGGAAAGGAAAGGAAAAGAAGAGAGGGAGGGAGGGTGGTGGGGAAGGAGGGAGGGAGGATAAACAAACCATCTCCTTACTCCCATCTCAGTCTCTTCAGGCCTCAGTCACTCTGCTTCTAACACAACTGCCTAAAATGAACATTTGGTGATGTGGTGTGGCTGTGTCCCCACACAAATCTCATCTTTGACTGTAGCTCCCATATTCCCAGGTGTTGTGGGAGGGACCCCGTGGGAGATAATTGAATCATGGGACGGTTTCTCCCATACTGTTCTCATGGTAGTGAATAAGTCTTATGAGATCTGATGGTTTTATAATGGGTTTCCCTTTTTGCTTGGCTCTCATTCTCTCTTTGCCTGCTGCCATGTAAGATGTGCCGTTCGCCTTCCGCCGTGATTGTGAGGCCTCCCAAGCCACGTGAAACTGTGAGTCCATCAAACCTCTTTGTCTTTATAGATTACCCAGTCTCAGGTATGCCTTTATCAGCAGCATGAGAACAGACTAATACATTTGGTCATGTGGGTCATAATATTCAACACATTCTAAATCCCTCCTGCACCCATAAATACTTAGCATGGATACAGGTTTTACATTCTACCCTTATTGTCCTTACTAACCCCATTTCTGAACACTCTCCCATGAGCATTCTATACTCTACCCAGCATTTCCCAAATAGATGTGCCACAAACAAATGACGCTATGGACAAAGAAATCTGATCACGTCATCATACTCTACCCTCATTTTAAAGAATCACAAAGCACATTGTCATTAAGAAAATCACATAATAAGAAAAACCAATAACACATTTAAAAAGGAAATCTGCTTCCATTTGTTTCATCTAGGTTTCTCAAACTTTTTTGTCCATGGGCCCCTTTATCCAAGGAACAACCTGAGCTGGACCTCATGGAACACAGTTTTTGAGAACACCACTCTGTAAGGCTACTCACACTTCCCTGAACACCCAGGCTCTCTCATTTCTCCACACTTCACTTTCACAGTTCCTGTGTCTAGAAGGCCCACCCCTCTCTTGATGCCTGAAGAGTTTCTACAATTTCTATAAGCCCATCCTACAAGTATTAATGCAAGGCTACTTCCTCTCTGAAAACTCCCCTCTGGAAAAATTAATCAATCTCTCCTCTGGCCCCTCGTGAATCTTGTGTTTTCCTCTTTCACAGTATTTCTCTTGTCTATTATTACTGTTTATTTTCTGAATCTCTCACCAGACTGTAGATCGCTTAAAATTAGGGTCTGGGGTCACTCATGTCTCTATTCCCCATCATCTATTATAGTGCAGAGATCACTGCAGGGGCTTAAAAGTGGGTGATGAAGGAATAGTCTATTCCGGTGCCATAATATTGACACAATTTTCATGATATCAAAAGTGAACGTGGAAAGGTTATAAGGAATGTACAAATATATATTTTCTCTGACTCGATTATGTGGAAAGTGTTTTGCCTCCTTTTCTGGCAAGGTAAAAAGGAAATGAAAGATGCAGTCCCACCAGAGGTAGGGACCTACCCAACTGGACTAGATGCATTCAGTAGTCTGTAAGTGACTTAATGAGTAGTCAAAACTCCTACAGGCAATAGTTTCAATTGTTGTCACTGCCTGTTTCTAGAGAAAGGAAATAAACAGCCTATCTCCAGCCCACATAAAACACAGATGCCTCCCAAACCACAAGTTTGCCCTGAAAACTTGTCACAGTCATGCCAGCCACCTGTGTAGTTACTCTCTACAGATCGACCCACAGACAGGGTGACTATTATTGCAAAGAAAAACAGCCTAAGGAAGCAAGCCAAAAATAAACATGCAATGCTTTCCAATTTAATAATGAAAAATTTCAACATCTATCTCAAACTTCATATAAAATGGGAAGTCAAGGAGTTTGTATCTTCACACTGTCTGGCATCTATTATGTCATCCAGCATCTATTGTAGTTGCATAGAACGTAGCAAGTGCTCAAAAATGTGTGATGAATGAATTTCTGTAAAGTGTGTCCGATTAAAAGATTTTCAAGAGGTATGTAAAGTCAGGATATAAACCAGCTATCTTGCAAAGGCATCTGAAAATAAGAACTGGTCCTGACTTCCAGACAACAAAGGGAAGACTGAGCAGGTCACTGCTTCCAACTTTGTTAGTCTACTGTTGGATCAGCAGGACCAAGTAAGGGGAAAGGCCACATGGAGGAGGGTGGAGATTGTTAAACAAAGTGTCTTGACATTCCGCTGATTAATCTGCTACCAGCCTGAATTTTTTCCATGCATTTAAAAATATATTGTCATGCAAATTTATTATCCTTGCTTCCTGCTTCGTTAAGCAAGGCCCATTCTCTAGGGTTCTGCCTAAGGTAAGCATAAGAAGGGCAATCATTTTTAGGAACCTACTGTGGTTTTAATGTGTCCCCTCTAAAATCAGGTGTTGAAACTAAGAGGTGAGGTCTTTAAGAGATGATTAGGTCATAAGGGTCCCTCCTCTCATGAATAGAATTAAGTCCTTTATAAAAGAGGCTTCACACAGCAGTCGGCTTGCTTGCCTTCTGCCTTCCACCATACAAGGACACAGTGTTCCTCCCTCTGGAGAAGGCTGTGACAAGGCACCCCCTTGGAAGCAGAGAGCATTTCTCACCAGACAACGGAACCTGCTGACACCTTGATCTTAAACTTTTCAGCCTCCAGGACTGTGAGAAAATAACTTTCTGTTCTTAATAAATTATTCAGACTCATATTTATTTTGCTATAGCAGCACAAATGGACTAAGACAGTAGCCCAAAGCAACTTAGTGACTCTTTGTCTAAGCAACCAGGGATTTGGGTGGGGGATAGTGATCTCTTACCAGTTAGATTATTTTAAAAAATTTTAAGTGTATTCCATATGACTTAGACTGAATCTAATTTTATTTTTGGTGCTGCCCATGAAACAGTTCTGCCCTATAAGTTTCCAAATCAATGTTCTGCTCTTCTCCTCCCTATTCTGTGCTCTGGGAAGCTCACTCCTACGATGCACCACCTGGGCTCTGCAGCCTTCTAGTCTTAAGTCTGGGTTAGTGAATGAGAGGCACCAGCAGGAGAACAAAAGGTGAGCAAGGAAGGCAGTCGGGGTATTCGTTCCTGCTCTTCCTGCCGTACCATGGTTCTGGTAGTGACTGCAGGCTGCTGTGACTACAACTTCTCCCACAGTTCCAGTTCCCTCCCCTTCTCTCTCTGCCTAGGGGTGGAAGTGGAATCCCGCAGCTGATTGTTACTGGTGGGTCCCAACATTCCTTGTTGATTCCCTTAAATCTTCTCCCACCTCTACGATAGCATCTTTAATAAATTGTTTTCAGTTAAACTCTTTAGAGTGTATCTTCTGACTGAAACAGAATGTTAAAGAGTTTTATTTTTATCCCAAGTATATCATGAAGCCATTGGAACGTTTTAAGCTTGAATTTCAAAAATATAATTCTGGCTATATTTGGGGAATAGGTTTAAAAAAGAAGAGAATAGATATAGGTAGGTTAGGAGATTATTACAGTGATCCAGAGAAGAAATCCTGGTAGTTTGACTAAAGTGTTGGTAAAGTTGAAGACAGAGGATTCAAAAGACGTTTGAATGAAAAATGAACAGGACTTGTTGATGGATTCAATATGGAGAGATGAAGTAAGTAAGAGATTGAGGTGTCAAAAATAACTCCTTGTTTTGTGGCTTTCGATCATGCCCTAGGATAAGAAATACAGCATTGGAAGACTAGATTTCATCATTTTGACTTAAGACATTGATTTTGAGTTGTCTTTAAGATATCTAAGTAGGCAAATAAATACACAAGTCTAATTACTTAGAATCGAGGTCTACAATGGAGACAGGCACTTGAGAGTTGTCTGTGTATATGTGTTAATTGACCCTGTGAGTTATCACCCCTGGGAATGAGAAGTGTTTTCAATGTCCTAGATAGAAATTTTATGGAGACTCTTTAGGGACTATAAAAATGAAGAAATATGAGCAAATATGTGAAGTTGAACCTGCCAGGTGGTTTTCTATTGCCTAGATCAGATGCAAACATCTTAATACAAACATTAAAAAAAATAATAAAAAGAACTATCTTTTATTAAGTACATATTGTATCAGTTTTTATTACCCAAGTCTGATACGAAATTTCATAATGCCTTAAAGAAGGCTCATGCTAAGTGAACAAAATGATATACTTATGTTCTCAAAGAACATTTTTTTTTCACCCCAAAGTGTAAGGACTTTATAATGCACAAATTTAAGGGAAGCTGTCATAGTAACTAACTGTAGAGGGTTGCTGTCATTATTTGTGCTATTCCATGTTCTAGTAGTATGGCCTAGGTTTTGATCCATTTCATCCATATTCAAGCCAAAAACAATTTTTTCTGGATCGATAGTCCTTTCTTCAGCAATTACCAGAGACACTTTTCTAGCTTCTTATTCTTATATCCTCTAAGAATATACACTGAATCTGACCAGTGCTATAGGATCTTATTACTACGCATCCTATAATTAAAATGGCTAAATCTGAATATATGTAAAACAGAAATATTCAGTTTTGTAAATATAAGCAAACAGGTTATATTTTTATATATATTATTATATATTTTTATATATTTTATAGGTTACCTTTTGGAACAACAATATCATTTTAGTTATAAATGTACATACATGTACATATACCTGCATACATGTACTGAAACATCTCATAATACAGAGTTCACCTTTGCCATTTGCATTTCACTCTGAACTTTTCTATTCTATTCTCCTTCATCTTAAAAAGTACTGATTATGGCCCACCATCTTGATTTCATAATTTACTCCTAGGTCACAACCCCCAGATTGAGAAAACATTCTCTAAATCCTGGTTCCCCCCACCAATTTCATAGTTTTCAGTTTCACTATTAATGCATCCCTGGACTCTCACAATGATGTAGGTATTGTCATTGATTTTTTGCTGATTTTTGACCCACAGCCACAAGGTGAGAGAATAAAGAAGAATAGCTGGTGACATAAGCAGCTTGATGAGGATGCAGTTATGTGTGCATGTACGTATATCTGTGCACTTGTGGCAGGCACAGCGAACTTGTCACTTCATCGGCACTAAGGAGGCTGACGGTTTTGTTCACTGTATCACACATGCACATTTAGGAGAAATTCTTGCCTGGGCTTAATTATAAGAGGAGTTGTGCTTCTGCTGAGCAATTGCAATTATTTTAAATTTGAGAACACTTTACCTTGCAAGAATGAACAGGTTTCCATCTTCTTGTTGCCTGCCAGAGACCTTCAAGTTAAACACAAGTATATACATTCCCTTCATTTCTAGATCCAAGTTCCATTCTCATCCTTATTTTTT
Source organism: Homo sapiens (assembly GCF_000001405.40). NCBI lineage: Eukaryota > Metazoa > Chordata > Mammalia > Primates > Hominidae > Homo > Homo sapiens. The sequence goes on along the minus strand of NC_000012.12, from coordinate 67,800,675 downwards.
CTTCATCTTTGCCTATATGCCATGTTATATTTTATATGTCTTTGGAAGTTGCCTCAGAATTTTTTTTAACATAGAACATTAGAAGATATAAAAAACAAGGGCTATAAACAAAAATGGGAAGCACTGCAATCAGGTAGTAAGAACATGAGCTCTACAATTAGACTGCCTGAGTTCAAGTCCTGACTCTTTCTCTCACTAATGGGAAGTTGAAAGAAGGCATGTTCCCTGACTCTTTTAATATGGGTTTCCTCTCCAATTAAATAAAGGAAATAATTGTGAGATGTTAGTCAAAAGATGATACAAACAAATGAAGAAAACAAAATGAAAAGAACTGAAATTTTAAAATAAAACTAAAATAAATAAAGGAAATAAGAGTATCTTCCTCAGAGGGTTAGCGTGAGGATTATGAGGTAATGCATGCAAAGTACTTACAGTTTGTCACATGTAGTAAGTGCTCAACTAATGTTAGCTATAGTAAAAACAAATATACATGAGCTTGTATGTGACTGTTACATGAAAACACACACACAGACATGCACACACACACACAAACACACAGAACAACCCACATCTAGGCAGGCATGCAGCCGGAAGAAGCTGGCTTTTCCAGACTCTTGTTTTTCAGACTCCTGGATCAGAGACAATTTTTTTCAAAGAGACAGGAAATGTTATTTATTTATCTGTTTATTTTTAGAGAGAGGGGTCTCGCCATGTTGCCCAGAGTGAACTTGAACTCCGGGGCTCAAGTGATCCTTCCACCTCAGCCTTCCAAGTAGCCGAGACTACAGGTGTGTGCCACCATGCCCAACTAACACCTCATTATCGATCTGAATCTACCAAAGAAATAGTATTTTTGTGACATCCTAGTGGCTTAGGAAGGTTCACGTGACATTTTTGTTAAGTAGCTGTATTAGTCACCTTGGGCTTCCATAACAGAATACCACAGATGGTATTAAACAACAAAAACGACATACATCTGTTTTCTCAGAGTTCTGGAAGCTACAAGTCCAAGACCTATGTACCAGTAGGGTTGGTGTCTGCTAAGGCCTCTTCTTGGTTTGCAGATAGCTGCCTGCTCCCTGTGTTCTCACATGGCCTCCCCTCTGTGTGAGCACAGAGAGAGACCTCTGGTGCCTCCTCCTCTTCTTATGAGGACTCCAGTCCTATTGATTAGGGCTTCATCCTTAGGACCTCATTTAATCTTAATTACTTCCCTTAAGGACCTATCTCCAAATATAGCCACATTGGGGATTAGGGCTTCAACATATGAATTTTGGGGGACTGTGATTCAATCCATAACAGTAGTCATTGATAGAAAGGAGAGAGGAAAAAAAGCACAAACAAACAGAAAGTGAGATTTTTTTCCAGTGTGGAAAGGGGAGGAGAAAGGGAGGAAATGAGGTCACCTGGGGGAGACCCTTGTCTATCAGAACAAACAATTCAAAGGGAGACAGAGCTGCTGGTTGACAATTGCACAGGCTTTGCTGAAAACGTCCTGGTGATCCCAGATTTGAGAATCACAGCTTCAGATAATGTGAACTCAGCTGAGGCATTTCATGAGAAGAGGCATTTTCCCATGACTTATATAACTGTTTCTGCTCAGGCCAGAAATGCCATGGGAACTATTTTTTAATGGCTCTGCTTGGCTTAGGATCAGTAAAGTATTCAGTATATCCTCAAACAGCCCCACCTTGTCATTTTCTCTTGACCATTTGTCATTAGGACGGGCACTTTTTTTTTTTTTCAAATTTCATTTGTAAAAATCTCTAGGTAATGTCCTTGGTATGAAATGACAATAGGGAGGAGAGAGTGACTCTCAGCTAGCAACCTGCCAACTCTTACAAAACCAGGCAGGTATGTGTGAGTCTACGTGTGTCTTGAAAATCAGTCAAGTTTTATTATAAGAAAATCTTCAAACCAAACACCTTACTTAGAATGGGTCAATAGGAAAGCTGATATGAAAAATCCAAGTTCAAAATATCCTTAGATTAAAACCCTAGCTAGAGCTAAGATGAACTGGCATTAAGTTAGGACAAATGGCTAAATACTTGTTTACATAAATATCACACAACAATTTAGCTGTTTCTGCCTTAACCAACAATAAAAATATAGAGAGAGAGAAGAAAAAGAAGGCAGGGGAAAAATGGAAGAGGGAGAGGGAAGAAGATGAACCAGAGGAGGAAGAAGGTAAGAGTAAGAATAGAGAGGAAGAGAAATAAGAAAAAGAATAAGAGGAGGAAGGTGATGAAAAGGAGGAAGGAGAGGAGCAAGAGGAGGGCAGAGGAGGGAGGGAGGAGGGTGGGAAAAAGGTGGCAAAAAGAGTTGTGGACAAAAGTCTGGTGAGATCTAGGTCCAATTGTGGTCCTTGAACTTATAGTCTTTGAACTTAAGTGTGAATTTTTGACACTTCTTCGCCTCAGTTTCTGTGTATACTTACTGGCTATTTCATATCCGAGTTTTGAAGGCTTTGCTTTTATTTATTTTTGTTGTTCTTTTATTGCAATTTTTTGCAACAAAATTCTTTTTACTAAACAAAAGGTTTTGGATATTCATTATGGAATTCAGAGGAAGACAAAGCCCAGAGGCTCACTGCCCTAGGCAGCTACTGCCCCAAGGGACCCCAGAGGGCATTGGCAGAAATCTGGATGTGTCCAAGCCCTCTCCAACTTGACTCTATCTTTGTTATGGTCCTTTAACAATTCTATAACAGGAAGTCTCACTCTGATGCCATACACAGAGCCCATGCAGTAAGCCTGCTTTCTAGGTGACTGGGCTGCCTAAATGAATTTCTTTGGATGCTTCAAGGCTTAAGATCCCTTCAACAGGAAACCAGCAGCCCACTCTATGCTGGAATTTACTGTCTAAGAAACAGCAAGATTACAGTGTAATTTCAAATGTTTCCCAAAATGTTAACAAATTAATATCTAGATGCTAGGTGTAAAATGCCCCCAGCGTGGCAGATACTCTGTCATCAGACATCATGGCAAGCCGCCAATCACGGCTTCAGTTGAGACTGCTCAATACTGACGCTCTCTACCACTGCACCGCCTGACTCACCATCATATAGAAGACCCACACTGAAAAATCTGTCCTGAAATGAATGCTGGAACAGTCCTGGGAACCATTCCACCAGCACCATCATGCATATGCACAGCCGCTGCAAAGCCTAATCAGAATTCAGAATGCTGCAAGAAGGGACCCGCCTAAGAATTCTGTAACCCAAACTTCAGTCCAGGAGCCAAACCATTTAACCCACTGGCAGTAAACAGTTAGAAAATGATCTAAATTTAGAATGTCCAAGTAAGCACTGAAGTTCTTTCCTTCTTGTTTGGTTCCAGAGAGCTATTCTGGACATCATACCATTAAACGAAGCAATGTAACTGACAAGCAGCAATGGCCAAAGTGAATTCAGTTTTGGAAATGAGTGAGGTTCTCAGCTTCTCTATAGATTAGCCCTGCAGCTGCCACTCTCTGGCAAGGGACAGAATAGGTTGTATACATGAACACACATTTGAAGGGTAACTTCAGGACTCCCTGAGTTTGGCTACTCTTGTTCACAGACTGTCAGAAATAATCTACTTGGACCACTTAAAAAAAAAAAAAAAAAAAAAAAGGAACCCACATCAGACTAAAACCTTGTTCTCCAGTAATTTATTCCAAGCACAAGGTGTTTTCAGATAAAAAGCAATTATGTGAAATCTACCATCAGGCCACAGAAAATAGAGTAAACATTTAATGTAATTAGACAATCATGCCTATATTTCTCTTTTGCAGTTTAAAGCAACTCACCGACTTCAAGTATTTCAGCCCTAACTTTGAGCAGTCGCAAATGTGGGAAAAGGGTGTCTACAAGTGAATTTTAATATTACAGAAAATCTCACAGAAAGAATCTAGTTCCTTAAGATAAGGCTGCAGAGGCTAACTTTCATATCAAGGTTCTTTGCTTTAGGCTGGAATTATATCATCTTAATGCAGTAAATATCCGTTTTTAAATCTCAGCTGACCCAAAGTTTTGATAAGTAGTTATCAAAGTCTTTGGTTAATTAAAAAATAGTAAACTAAATTTTTTCATACCAAATGTAGTTTGGTAGATTGTATCTTTCAAAACATGTGACCCAGTAAAAGGAGTCCTTGAGGGTGAAAATATTGGAAACTACTGAGAAATTATTCTAAGAAAGTAATTAAGGAAAATGTAGCTGTAATAAAAATTATTCTAGCCTTGCCTGTGATAAAGAGAAGTTTAAAGCAATAAGAAAAACTAGTAATAGAAGAGTTGTTGATAAATGAGGATATACCTAAATAACAGACATATTTAATCACTGAAAGGTGCTGCAGATGTGAATTTATTCAAATGGGAAAACATGTTCATAATATTGTGCTAAGCAAAAAATGACATTATGAAGCAGTTTAATGAGCGTAAGCTCTAAAGAGGGTTTTCGTCTAGGTAGTAGGATTGTGTGTATTTTATCATTTTCATTTTATTATCATTTCTAAATCTATGTTACTTTTATAATAAGGAAATTTTTTTAAATTTTACTTTAAGTTCCATGATACATGTGCAGAATGTGCAGGTTTGTTACATAGGTAGACGTGTGTCATGGTGGTTTGCTGCACCCATCAACCCGTCATCTAAGTTAAAAATGAGTTTAAAAAATAAACATCAAGATCAGTAGAGGAGAGAAAATCATGATGCTGAAGAACAGGTAGACTTAGGGTCATCAAAATTGCAAATAAAATAGAGTAAAATGTGATGGAAATGTGTAGTAGGTTTGAGAAAATCCAAGAGTATTTAATCTGGGTACCCCATGCCTTTGCTCCTCTGATCTAGAATTTCTTCCCCACAGCCCACCTCTATTCCCATATGCTTAAAACTTCCTCCTACTTCTCTAGCTCTGCTTTTGAAAATTCCTGTAATTTTCAGAATCACATTAAACATTTTATTATAACTTTTTAAAAGCAGCCACATTTTATTTTCCACTCAATGTTGTTCTTTTCTAGTTCTTTCCATTTTTCCCCCTTCTAGTTTGAAAACTCTTTGTGCATAGAAAATATCCCTACAGCACTGTTTTTTTCTGTGTACTTTATCCCCATTTGAGTCTTGCCATAAAAGGGAACATAATTAGTATAGTACCTTGCATTCAGTAGGCATTCAATAAACACCTATCACAATTGTCCACATGACCTTTTCCTTCTTTACCAGACTGTAAATTTCTCCTTGGATGAGTCACGTCCTCCCAGTCTTTATACCGCCTCTAGTAACTTATGATAGCTTACATATATAATAAGAACTCAATAAATGGTTAACAAAACAAGTGACCAAATTAAGAGGTCTGATTCTGGCTTCTTCTATGTTTCCTGGGAAATTCTAAGCCATTTGTGTTTCCCTTTTACTTCAGGAGTCCTCAATGGGGGGCCAGCTTGACTGCCCAGGGAATACCTGGCAATGTCTTGAGACATTTTTTGAAAGTCATGACTGGGGAGTGAGGAAACTGTTACTGGCATCCAACTGCTCCTGTATAAAGACCATGGATGATGCTGAAAATGCCACAATGCACAGGGCACCCTCCCACAGCAGGAATCTAGCCCAAAACGTTGGTCGTGCTGAGGTTGAGAAACCCTGCTTTCCCTCCCGCTGTACATCTAAATGCCATCAGCACATCATACGAGTGTTTTTTTTCTTCTCTTTTCCTGCCCCATCACACACATACATAGCTTTTAGAGAAAGAATCTCCAAGACTAAGACTAGAAGTGTTCAAGTCTATCTGGGCCCAATTTTGTCACCTATTTACTGATGGATAAGACCTGCCCCACCTACCTTTGAGGGCGATTGTGAGGATAAAATAGAAGAATATATCTTCAAATCCTTTTAGAAACAAATGGAATATATTAATTAACTCTGCCAAGATACATACTGAGGGAGAAATGGGATATTTTGTAGAACATGAATATCATTCCCTCATCAATAAACACATTTATTTTCTACTCTAAGTCATCCAACAAGCATTTATTAAGCACCATCCATACAGAATAAAAAATGCTACTAGACTTTTGATGGAAAGAAATCATACAGTTTTAGAACATGAAGGTGAAATTGTAATTATTTCTGGGCTCCAGGCAACTAGAAATGTTTTTATTAAGCTTAAAAATGCTTTCCTTATTTCTCTATGTGAGCATGAACCAGGGTTGCAGAAAGTATACCGGAATTAAAGCCAGAACTCATTACCATACTTATGTAATCAGACAGAAATCACTTTTGTTGAAGATTTTGCTGAAGTCTTATTTATATGAACTCTGCCTCCTTTGGTTTGGCTGCCAATATCTAAGGCTCTTGAATTCCTAATCTATACATCACATATGCTGAGAGCTCACATCCAAGGAGCTGCCCAAAGAAAACACCAGAGTCTTCTGAATGAAGGGGCTTCTCAGAACTTAGGAATTTAGATCTTATACAGAGCGTTTGAACATAGAAAGGCATGAGCAGTTGTTTGTTTGCTTGTTTGTTTGTTTCTTAAGTTTTAAGTTCAGGGGTACATGTGCAGGTCTGTTGATAGGTAAACATGGGGGTTTGTTGTTCCGTGACATTAAGTACATTCACATTGTTGTGCAATCAACTCTACCATCCTTCTCTAGAACTCTTGTTTATTTCTTTTTTTTCTATTTAACTTTTATTTTAAGTTCAAGAGTACATGTGCATGTTTGTTTCATAGGTAAACTTGCGTCATGGGGGTTCGTTGTGCAGATTATTTTGTTACCCAGGTATTAAGCCTAGTACCCACAGTTATTTTTCCTGATCCTCTTCCTCCTCCCACCCTCCACCCTCTGATGGGCCCCAGTGTGTACTGTTTCCCTCTATGTGTCCATGTGTTCTCATCATTTAGCTCCCATTATAAATGAGAACATGCAGTACTTGGTTTTCTGTTCTTACATTACTTTGCTAAGGATAATGGCCTCCAGCTCCATCCATATTCCTACAAAGGACATGATTTCATTCATTTTCATGGTTGTATAGTATTCCATGGTGCATATGTACCAGATTTTCTTTACTCATTCTACCATTGATGGGCATTTAGGCTGATTTCATATCTTTGCTATTGTGAACAGTGCTGCAGCAAGCATACATGTTCATGTGTCTTTATAATAGAACAATTTATATTCCTTTGGGTATGTACCCAGTAAAGGGATTGCTGGGTGAAATGGTATTTTTATTTTTAGGTCTTTGAGGAAACCTTGGACTGTTTTCTATAATGGCTGAACTAATTTACACTACCACCAACAATGTATAAGCATTCCTTTCTCTCCACAACCTCCCCAGCATCTGTTATTTTTTGACTTTTTTGTAATAGCAATTCTGACTGGTGTGACATGGTATCTCATTGTGGTTTTGATTTGCATCTATAACCAATTGTTTTAAGACAAACCAGGTACATTAATTCTTTAGTCAGTTTCCAAAGCATTGGCTTGATATGTCTGGATAGTCTAAAATACATATTATTGTGTCTCAAGGAATCTAAAACCCACTAATTCTGTTATGGCAGAACCATAATTCTATGCGCATGCTTAAGAGGCTTATTTTTTACATTGTGTTCTCCAGTTTTTTTCCTCAATTTATGGCAAATTTTTTTGCAAATTGAGTATTGAAAATAACAGCTAGTGGGGAGCTCTGGAGGAAGAACAGCTGTTTTTAAACATCTATGAGAAAACAAAATGCCAAACACACTTACGACAATTTTGAGTCAAAAGGGTAGCTGAGTGAATTGATAGCTTTGTCATCTGTTCAATGAATATTTATAGAATGACTTTTAAATAAATATAGCAAAAGGAAGCTAGTGAGTTACAGATAAGGAAATAAAGAAGAGCTTGCAATGTATCTGGGAAGATATATACCAGCATGAAAATGTCATCTGAGTGGCTTCCAAGATGGCCGAATAGGAACAGCTCCGGTCTGCAGCTCCCAGTGTGATTGACCCAGAAGACAGGTGATTTCTGCATTTCCAACTGAAGTACCTGGTTCATCTCACTGGGACTGGTTGGACAGTGGATGCAGCCCGCGGAGGGTGAGCCAAAGCAGGGTGGGGCGTCACATCACCGGGGAAGCACACGGGTCAGGGGATTTCCCTTTCCTAGCCAAGGGAAGCTGTGACAAACTGTACTTGGAGGAATGGAACACTGCTGACCAAATACTGTGCTTTTCCCACAGTCTTAGCAACCGGTAGACCAGGGGATTCCCTCCCGTGCCTGGCTTGGCAGGTCCCACGCCTACGGAGCCTTGCTCGCTGCTAGCGCAGCAGTCTGAGATCAACCTGCGAGGCTGCAGCCTGGCAGGGGGAGGGGCATTCACCATTGCTGAGGCTTAAATAGGTAAACAAAGTGGCCGGGAAGCTCAAACGGGGCAGAGCCCACGGCAGCTCAGCAAGGCCTACTGCTTCACTAGACTCCACCTCTGTGGGCAGGGCATAGCTGAACAAAAGGCAGCAGACAACTTCCGCAGACTTAAACATCCCTGTCTGACAGGTGTGCAGAGAGCAGTGGTTCTCCCAGCACAGTGTTCGAGCTCCAATAACAGTCTCCTCAAGTGGGTCTCTGAACCCCCTGTAGCCTGACTGGGAGACACCTGCCAGAGACAAGATTAGAGAAAAAAGAGTGAAAAGAAATGAACAAAGCCTCCAAGACATATTGGACTATGTGAAAAGACCAAATGAAAAGACCAAATCTACGTTTGATTGGTGTACCTGAAATTGATGGGGAGAATGGAACCAAGTTAGAAAACACTCTTCAAGATATTAGCCAGTAGAACTTTCCCAACCTAGCAAGGCAGGCCAACTTTCAAATTCAGGAAATACAGAGAGTACCACAAAGATACTCCTCAAAAACAACAATCCCAAGACACAATTTAATTGTCAGATTCACCAGTGTTGAAATGAAGGAAAAAATCTTAAGGGCAGCCAGAGAGAAAGGTTGGGTTACCCACAAAGGGAAGCCCATCAGACTAACAGCAGATCTCTCGGCAGAAACCCTACAAGCCAGATGAGAGTGGGGGCCAATATTCAACATTCTTAAAAAAAAGAATTTTCAACCAAGAATTTCATATCCAGCCAAACTAAGCTTCATAAGTGAAGGAGAAAATGTCATCTGTCACCGACAATGAATGCGATATGTTAAGTGAACAGCAGAGTCAGTAATTTCTATAGGTGAGAAGAAAGATTACATGAGATTTAGAGTGACAGGAAAAAATTCATAGGAAATAAAAAAAAAAACCTGGCCTTGACTTGGGTGACAGGTAGACTTTGGCCAGGTGAAAAGGAAGGGAAGGAGAAATATTTTTGAGAGGAGCACTAATGAAAAAAAAAAGATGCAGAGGTAGAAATTGTTAATTCATTCAAAATAGGGATCATTAAGTTATTATAATGTCCAAGATGCTATGATAACTTTCATGGATACAAAATTGAATTAACCATACTCCGTACCCTTACAGAGTGCACATCTAGTTAGAGGACACAATTATAACTACCAGTACTACAGTACAGGTTCTCCAAAGTGAGGGGCAGACTTTCCAGGAAATGTGGAAGATGATCTTTTGGTACACAGAATAAAATAATAGATTTTCCAGTTACATTGTTTTTTAATTTTTATCATTTTAAATTTGTATATGTTTTATGTATAAAATGCAGTACTATATAGTATGCTTACATAATTTAAAAATAAGAATACATATTTTAGTGATGAGTGCTCAGAAATATTTGCTGATAATAGAGCAAGACCAAAAACTACTGTCATGGACTGGATGTCCAGGTCATGTTACACATGCCACACTGGTAGTGTAAAAAAATCCTCTGAGAGCCAGACTCCTGAAGTGGGGGAACATCCACAGGGTGCTGGAGGAGAGGGTGAGGAGGAAGGGATGGAGAGCAATGGATATAGATCAGAGACTGGGACGACATTTAGAAGGTCATGAGTAGCTTAATCTCACAAAAGCCTACAGGTCTTATAGATGATATGCGACTACTAAACCAGGCTGCCTTTCTGACAGTGCAAAGATAAATTGTCATCTGTAGAGGAGTCAGTCATACCTCATTCAAAAATGCTGTAGAAATTGTAGCTAGATAATTAGCCCATAAGAAGGCCAATTTTTTTTTACAAGTTCTTTGATTCTAAACTAGGTATAAGAGTCCCACCCGTTACCGTAAGTTAAACCTTCATGATTCATATCCTTTTGAAGCTTCTATCCACAAACTGTAATATTCTCTATTCAAGAAAGAAGACTTCCATTAAGAAACCCATAAGGCTGAAGTCCTCTAGCCTGTTACTTCCAAATAAGCTACACTCTGAACAGAAGACACTGCCAAGGTTAAATCATTCCTACTGTCTACCAAAGCCCCCTTAACTTGTCAGAGAAAAGACTACACACACATTAATGCTCAATCTTTATACTCAATTTAGCTCTTCTCCAGTAGAAAGTCAAGTTCCTTGTTTCTCTGATTTAGCCCTGATATGAATATGGATGAAAATCAATTTACAAAACACTGCATCCAAGCCCAGAGGAAACACTGCTAAATACCTTTATTTTGTTACTCTGAAATATGAGAAGCGCTAGAAATAAACCCTAGTGACAGAAGGAGCTCATATAGTTGGAGATGCCATTGTATGGCAGAACATCATAGGATTACTGTAATTATGTTGCACTAATATACTACTGAGTTTTAGGACACAGAAACAAATCCATGTCACTTGTGGCTGCTGTTTTGCATAGTTGCTAATGTATTAAATTTATTCTATTTATTGTGTTTTAATTTTAACCATAACCTACAGGCCTCATAAGTACAATTAGAATACAGACTATCACTAAAGAGAAGATTGTTTTATCAGCTACAATCCAATGAGATTCTACTGGCTGCCAGAGAAGAAAAGAAATTCCTCTTCTAAGTAGGCTACTAATTAGCTGTGACCTCAGTAAGCAAAATGCCAACAGAAAGAGAAAACTTCAGATTATTCTAGAAAGAGCCCGTGAATTTCCAGGGTCTTCCATGAAAGGACAATATTTCCTAAAATCAGTGAAATGGTAATAAATCTCTGGCCATCACTGTAACATGGCTAAAACTTTTCCACACATAAGTCTAAGAGTTCTGCTAAGACTCTTCACCATTGCACCCAATGAAGAGCACTCTGAGTGTCATCAGAGTTTCCTGTAAGAATGGAAGTTGTTCCAGTGGACTGATTCCATTTCTCAATGTCAAACTAGAGTGAACTAGTAAAACCACAATGGAGAAAGTAGAGAATAGCACAAACTCTAGAGTTCAGAGCTGAATCAGAGATGCTTCAAATTGGTTATGTAAAATGGGACCCTATAATTAGAAAAAACATACAGCTAGAAGGGTTATTTAATCCAAATTAAACAAAGTGAATCATCTTTCAAGTTTAGCTAGTTAGCATTCTCTATAGATGTAAATTTTAAAAAAATAAGAAAAAAATACATACATTTCTAAATGCTTTTACCATATTGACCCCAGAAATAAGATCTGGAAAGAGCCATTCATTCTTTCCCTCAATTTAAATATCACTTTTGCTTCATTTATCACCTGCTGAAATTTCTTAAATGTCTTCCACTAAGTGATAACATAGGAATCCATTACTGCTTCTCAAAGAGAGCCAGACCACCCTAATAATCCACTAGAGGATTCAGAAGTTATGTTTAATCAAATGTATGCTCATCTGGAAAAGTTCTGAGTTCTGCATTAGAGCACATAATAAATAATAGGCTAGAATTTGGCATTTTTCTTAGTGGAGTTTTAATACTGTAATTTCCTTTTTCCTTCTAGCCTCAAAGCAGTTTCTTATACTATAGGATGACAATCTAGGTTTGAGGGCTACAACTTTCTAAGCTAGTTGCACAATTACTAGCTATTTCAAAAGAGCCATAATTTATATTAACTAAGAAGGAGGAACAGATGAATTGATAGATGAGAGTAGAGATGGATGATTAAATCTGATGAGAAGCAAGACAGGTTGTGCTCTTAACCAGCAGATGAACACCCAAAAACTCATTATGTACATACCAATGATTGTAATTGTTAATAATGTGTATTTGACAACAAATAATCATTCAGCCTTAATTTTTTCCTGTTAAGATAAAACTTAACCCCCACTTAAATGGAACATATCAGAAACATAGAGTGGTTTAAAATTTCCAAAAATACATCCCCCAGACACCATCGTGTGGGGAATTATATTATAACTAGTTCACGGGAAAATGTAATGTCCTCTCAGCTATGGGATGATAAAAAAATCCAATGTAGGCTATTAATAGTAAATGTGTACTGTACATGGAATCTACGAGCTGAAAATATCTTTGGAGGTAATCTAGTCTAAAGTCCCACCCAGTGCAGGAATTCCCAGTAAAACATCCTGGACAGATGGTTATCCTGTCTGTCTACACCTACCAGTGATCAGGAAATATCTTAGAAGGCAACTCATTCAGGGCGGAACAGTTTCAATTTTTGCAAAATTTTCTTTTTAGTGAGATGTGCTGCTTTGTAACTCGTTGGTTACCTACCAGGGTACTAAATCTGTGAAAATGTTTTTTAAGAGACCCTGGCTCATAAAATCATAGTGATTGCCACTTTCTTTCAAGTATACTTTACCCATTAGATATGAGGACAACAACAAAATGGGAGAGTCAAAAAAGATTCTGATATCAAAGTTACGATGCAAAAACATTTGAAACTCTTGTAAAGCATGTTGCTGTGGCATTTAACAGGGATAAATTCAAGGCTCTAACACAATTCAATACACTGATTGCATAAGAAGTGATAGAGCAGATCTGACTTTGGCAGAAACACATGTAAAACTCTGCTTCTCTTTCTACTCAAACTTCAAATACTGAGGCTATCCCTAATTAAAAATAATTAATGAGAAACTATATGTGAGTCAGTAGTGAGACATGGCTAAAAACATCTGAATAATCTTAGCTTAATATTAATAGAAACTTAATTTTCTTGAAGGAACGATGTGAGATTGCCTTTCATTTTTTTTTTTTTTTGTCACGGCCAAAACACATCTTTGAACTCGCCTACAGGTCTGTCTTAGTCCATTTTCTGTTGCTTATAACAGAATACTTGAAACTGGGTCATTTATAAAGGAAATAAATGTGTTTCTTACAGTTATGGAGCCTGGGAAGTCCAAGTTTAAGGGGGTGCTTGTGGTGAGAGCCTTCCTGCTGGAGGGGACTCTAGCATCCTAAGACAGTGCCTGGTGAGGGGGCTGAGTGCGCTAACATGCTAGCTCAGGTCTCTCCTTCTCTTCTTATAAAGCCACCAGATCCCTTCCCATGATATCCCATCAATCTATCAACCCATTAATCCATGAATGAGTTAATCCATTCATGAGGTCAGAGCCCTCAAGACCCAATCACTTCTTAAAGGCCCTACCTCTCAATACTGCCATGTTGGGGATTAAGTTTCAACATGAGTTTTGGAGGAGGCATTCAAGACATAGCAAGGTCTTTGGACAAACTGAATATGTCCAAAAGTGATCAGGATAGCAAAGGATCTGAAAACCATGTCAGAAAAGAAAAGGAAACTGTGGTTAAGGAAGACTAAAGATTGTGCTATGGAAGAAGAGTTAGCCTCAGAAACAGAGAAACAAGGACATGTGAAAATTACAGGGAGTCACATTTCAGCTCACTACAAGAGAGGACTTTCTCAGACAGAGACTGGAAGACTGTTTAATCAAGCATGAGACCTCCAATATTAGTGGTCCTCTATCGGATGTCCTTATGATAGAAACATGATTGAAGAAAAGCAAGCCCTGAAAACAGAATCAAATGTTTATTCAATGCCTATACTTGCCAGCTCCTGGGTGTCCAGGATTTACTGAACAGAACAGACATGAGTGCTGTGCTCACAGGTTTACTGTCTAATTAGAAAGCGGTTGAACTAAGAATCTTTAAAATTTCCTGGTAGCTTTGAGATTCTATGATACTATTAGTCTAAAAGTCCTCTATAATAGAGTTGGGAAAATGTGTCGTATATGACTTCATAAAACACTTTGGAGGAGAAAATCTTTTTATTACATTAGATTCTTTTTTTTTAACATTGGATCTTTAATGCAACATTTTCTGAGCACATGTTATGTTCTGGGTACTGAGGCACCGCCGTGAAGAATAACCTACCCTAAAGGAGGTCACTGTCATCTTCACCTCCCTTTCAAACCTCGTTCTCTTCTCTATTTTGGCCAGTTCAGAGTCCCACTGAATAAGACAACTGCATAATTTATCTTCCAAATCAGGACATTTTTTGAAAGTGATAAGGGTGCTATTAATAATTGTACCAGGACAACAGGTGTAAAAAGGGACTTTCCAGACAAATAAAGACATCTGGTCACACTATTAATATACCCTAAATCTTCTTTGAAGTTGAATGTGCAGACTGGGCATCAATTGCTTTGTCAACCCAGCTCTTTCGACCCTTTTTTTCTGTAGAGTGCTCCTCTCTACTTTGCCCATTCCAGAAGTGTGATTCCTGGTCGCTCTTCAGCCACCACAGGTGGTACCAGGCCCAATCAAGTCTGTCCCTGAGGTATTTTTAGAACTGGCTCTCCCTAATGGTAAGATACAAACTTGGGTACTATTGGTGAGGAAGTGGTTTATGTAGAGAGAATGAAGTTAACATGAAGAAAAGAAGAGGTGAGGAGAAATTGAGAAAGAGGATCCTGGCAGGACTTGACTCGAGTTTCCATTTTCCTGATGATTACCTGCATATCATCGTTTGTTATTTCATTGTTCAATCTTTTAACTATATGAGATATATCATATTCTTCCAATATTGTTCCCTTTTTACTTTAGCTAGTTTGAGTTGGGTTTATGATACTTTCAATCCAAATTGCACTGACTAACCCAAGATGCAAAGAAATGATTTAAGTAGAAAAGGTGGCTCCCAAAAAGCTTCCGTCATTTGACAGAAACCTGTAAGTTTGGCCCTATTCTAGTAATATATTTAAGTAAGTCTGGGGCTTCGTGTCAATTCACCTATGCTCTTCACTGACCCCCAACCTTGAACATCTGTTTGATAAATGTGCTCTCTCCTGGTCTGAGACCAGCCTCATCTTTGCCACCAACTTGTGTTGTTGGGCATCTTTCTTGGTCCTTGTTCCTGAGTGTCTGTTTTGGTAAGTTGTACCTATCACAGGTCCCTCATAGGTTAGGGTCCCTCCTTGATTTTTTCAATCCACAGGACTGACTCCTTCAGCTGTAGATGTGGCCTTGTTACCTGCAGAGGATGCTTCTTGGTCCTTATTGTACTTGCCCTCTGTGCAGCATTAACACTGCTGCTCAGATATTCTTTCTTGTCTTTACTTCTATGACATTAATTTATTCCCATTCTCATCCTACTTCTGTAAGTACTTCTCGATGTGTTCTCATACCACTTCTACTTTTGTCTGCTGCCAAAACTTTAGTGATCTAGGAGAGTCTGCTTATTCCCTCTTTTCCTCTAAATATTCTTCTTAGACAATTTAATTGAATCTTATGACATCAACCACCAACAACAGGCTGATGACTCTCGATCCTGTTTTTCCAAGCCAGTTCTTTCTTGAGCTCTTGATTCATAAATCCAACTGTCTATTGGACATCGTCCACTGGGTGGCCCATTAAGTGCCTCAAACTGAAAGCATCGAAAACTGAACTTGCCTTTTCCACAACACTGTTCCATTTCTGATGTCCACACTAGCAGCTAAAACAGAAACCATTCTAGCTCCTTCCACTTCCTGGAATACAGTTCAGAAGTCACTTTGCCCTCTTAATTCTACCTCCTAATAATTATTGAAGCTGTCCCTATCAATTCTCACTGCCAATGCCTTACTTCTTCTCCCTTCTCTTAGTTCCTTCTCCCTTTTTTCTTTTATTATTTCAATGGTATCTTAAATGGTTTTTATTCATCCAGGCCAGCCGTCTTAAATAAACTTTCTTTGTGCTACTATCATAGTATTTCTAGAATACTCTCAAATTCAAAATTCTCCAGTGACTATTATCTACAAAGCAATGTACAAACTCCTCAGTAAGGCCTGAGAAGTAAGGCCTGAGAAGTCACTCTAGATCTGGCCCAGCCACACTCCCTAGACCCTTGTTCAAACACTCTACCAGCCAGCAATGGAAGGGCATCCACACTGGACAGTTGGCCTTTTTCTTAATGGCCATGCCATATTGTCCTATTTAGCTTCTTGACGAGAATGTTTTATTCATCTTTGTCCAGTGAAGATTTGACACGAAGATTTTTCAATACATGCGCTTGATGGAACCTCTGAACTTTCTATTTGGTTACTCATCACTGTGTCTTAGTGACCCAATGGGACCTTCCACAACTCTATCATTCACAGAGTGGAGGAAGGTCCCAATTGCTGATAGTTGCCCCAGGATCCCCTGTGCTTCTCAAATTAAGTCCTTCAGCAAGCATTGCTCCAGAACTTTACCCAGTTTCTTGCCTACTGCTGTTGTCAGTCTAGTTTGAAACCAGCTTCTTCCTAGTGAGGTCTAAGTAATGGGGAAAGGCTTGACATAGGTCCTAAGAAGTGTCATGAATCCATGTCAGATGATATAAGGAAAAGTAGGGGAGGGAGACTCATCTGAAGGCAACTGTGTGTCAGGATTTGTGCTAGAATGTCTCCATATGTTATTTGACCTAATCCTCTCAGAAACCCTGTGGAATAGACATTACAATTTCCATTTTAAAGAGGTTCAGTGAGGTTCCATAATCTACATAAGGTCACCTAGTTGTTAATTGGCAGAACAGACGATCAATCCAAGCCTGCTTGCTCTACAGCTTATATAATTCCTACATGCCATAATTTCCTCAAGAGGGCTGGTGAATAAAATTTCACAAGTCAAATTCTATTTTGATGACTTTAACTACAAAAGGGATTTATCTACTGATAAAATGTAAAATACCTAAAAATAACACAATTAGTATAACTGATCAATAACACTTCAGGATACATGTGTTTATTCAAGGGCGGGTCTGACTAGGGAGGAAGCCAGGGAAGGGAGAGGAAGGAAGTGAAAGAGCACAGAAAAGTTTAAGAGAGAGGAAGAAGTTGTCTCAAGGTAAAGTCAGAGGGAAATTGCAAAAGGGAAGGCCTGGAACCTAAAACAAAGGGACTTTCCCTGGAGATTTAGGTGGGGTCATCTCCTCAGGAAGATCAGAGGCTCTAAGACATCCTTTTGTATAACACAGACAGGAAGCTGAAAACTTATTTTACCTCTAGGCAAAGAAGCTTTAAAACTTTGTTAAACTAGACATATATGGGAAGAAATATCCCAAAATGCAACTGGATAGGTAGGATTCTGTTTTTCAATTTTCATTTATGTTAATTTTTTATCATTCTTTTTAATTACACATAAATTGATTTTTTTCATGGCTGTCAAGAGACTCATCATGCACTGCAAAGTTGGGTTCAGGATCAATTTCTATGTCTCTTTTATTAGATCAATATATCTTAGTGAAAGACAACTGATCAATATTTTAGGGGGAAAAAAAAGGCTCCATTCCCCTGGCTGATTTATATCTAAGCCAGTGAATTACCAAAGGCCAGTCTCTGTTTTTTCTGTTGAGTAAGTCCTGGGATCTTGGATCCAGCTGCCACATTGATGCCATTGGAAAATCAAATGAGTGTATTTTGGCAATCTGTAGTGTGTCTGGCATTCTCTACTTGTACCTTTCTTTCCAGGAAGCCTATATGTATGTGGATCTGGGGAACTAGAAAATAAGCTATCATGTTTGAAATCTGGTTTCTTAAGTAAGAAGTTCAGAGATTGCTCAATAAAAGCTGGTTATACAAAATTAGTTGATTTTCTTCTAACTGGAGACTCATCTCTCTCTGTATGCCTTTGAGTAGAAGTTATGGTTATGCATCGCCTTTGCTGAAGCTTGTTCTGTCATTGGGTGGAAATCTCATTGGGTGAAATGTCATTATCCACTTGTGAAACATACACATATCTACACTAAACTTAGAAGATTTCTGCAGAATTCCTTTAAACACTATAGAAAGCATGTCAGAAAGCAAAGACCACAGTGCTAAGCCATCCAGGTGGAGGCTTATATATATATACATATTTACACATATATATAGATTTATATATATATATATAAAATATATAAATATATGTAAATATATATAAATATATTATATTTCCTATTATATATATACACATATGAGCTTTTTAAATATTAACTCACACGATTACAAGGTCCCACAATAGGCTATCTGCAAGCTGAAGAGCAAGGAGAGCCAGTCTAAGTTCCAAAACTGAAGAACTTGGAGTCCGATGTTCGAGGGCAGGAAGCATCCAGCACGGGAGGAAGATGTGGGCTGGGTGGCTAGGCCAGCCTAGCCCTTTCACATTTTTCTGTCTTCTTTATATTCACTGGCAGCTGATTAGATGGTACCCACCCAGATGAAGGGTGGGTCCGCCTTCCCCAGCCCACTGACTCAAATGTTAATCTCCTTTGGCAACACCCTCACAGACAAACCCAGGATCAATACTTTGCATTCTTCAATCCAATCAAGTTGACACTCAGTATTAACCATCACAATCATCTAGGGAGAGAGCTTTAAAGGAAAGAAGTGCACCTAGCACTGAGCCCTGGGGCCCATTCTAATGTTTAGTGGTCTGATAAGGGAGGAAGAACCAGCAGAGAAGAGGGGAGGAATAGCCAATCAGGTAGGAGGAAACTAGAAACGTGGTATCATGGAAGCAGAGGGAAGAGTGCTTTACCAATAATCACTAGAACAACAAGACTGATGATCAATAGCATGTATTGAGCACTGTTTATTGTCCCATTGTTCTAAGTACTTCACATGTATTAACATCTACCCTCCTATTTAATGGAGGATAGACACTTTATGATTTTCTGTTCATAGTTGGAAATTGAGACACGAAGGTGTTAAATTTTCCACAGTCTTACCTGTAATAAGTGAGGAACTGGGGAAATGAAGTGGTTGTGGGGCTGAAACAAACCCTGGTTAAATCTGACTATCTGCCTATTCAGTACCTGCACCTATGCAGCTAAAAGTTTTTAGACTTTCTATGTCCTTATTTTACTCAGTTCTTAACAGCATTTAGCAGAGTTCATTTATGCATCAAGCAAATATCTATTTGGCACCAGGCACTGTTCTAGGGACTGAAGATATTGTGGTGAATGAAATATTTTAAAATTCCCATCCTGGCCAGTCACGGTGGCTCACACCTGTAATCCCAGCACTTTGGGAGGCCAAGGCGGGTGGATCACAAGGTCAGGAGATTGAGACCATCCTGGCTAACACAGTGAAACCCCGTCTCTACTAAAAATACAAAACATTAGCTGGGCGTGGTGGCGGACACCTGTAGTCCCAGCTACTTGGGAGGCTGAGGCAGGAGAATCACTGGAACCTGGGAGGCGGAGCTTGCACTGAGCTGAGATTGTGCCACTGCACTCCAGCCTGGTGACAGAGTGAGACTTGGTCTCAAAAAAAAAAAAAAAATTCCGGTCCGTCCTATGGAGCTTGCCTTCCAATGGGAGAGGCAGATCATAAGAGAAATAAATAAAAGATATAGTATGCAAAATAGTGTTAAGTGCTATCGTGAAAGGAAAAACAGAGAGGGGAAAGGAAGTGTGTCTGGGGGAAGGGGGCTCATTTTAGACAGGCTGGTTGGAAAATGCCTAAACAGAAACTTGACATTTCAGTAAAACCTTCAAGCGAGGGATGAGCCACAAAGGTATCTGGGGAAAAGCATTCCAGACAGAAGGAAAAATAATTGAAAAGGCCCTGAGGCAAGAATGTGCTTGGCACGTGAAACAATAGCATGGAGGCCACAGTGGTAGAAGTGGAGGAAGTGAGGAGTGACTATGTAGAGGAAAGATGGGGAACAGGTTCAGCATGGCTAGGGTTTCATAGGCACCATGTGAACTTTATGACTTATTCTGAATGATATGGGAAAGACATTGGAAAATTGCAAACAGAAGATTTACATGATCTGACAGGTTTTAAGTGGGTAGCTCTGGCTACTGTGTTAACAATAGACTATAGAGGAAGCAAGAACAGAAGTAGAGAGACCAGTTAGGAAGCTGTTCCTCATAATCTAGGCAATACATGATGATGGTTTGGCCAGGATATTAAAAGTGAGTTGATAAGAGTAGTTAAACTTGGCGAGGCCCAGTGGCTTATGCCTGTAATCCTAGCACTTTGCAAGGCTGAGGTGGGCGGATCACTTGAAGTCAGGAGTTTGAGACCAGTCTGGCCAACATGGCAAAACCCCATCTCTACTAAAAATACAAAAATTAGGCCGGGCGCGGTGGCTTACGCCTGTAATCCCAGCACTTTGGGAGGCCGAGGTGGGCAGATCACGAAGTCAGGAGATCGAGACCATCCTGGCTAACACAGTGAAACCCCGTCTCTACTAAAAATACAAAAAAAAAAAAAAAAAAAAAAAAAGCCAGGCGAGGTGGCGGGCACCTGTAGTCCCAGCTACTAGGGAGGCTGAGGCAGGAGAAGGGCGTGAACCCAGGAGGTGGAGCTTGCAGTGAGCCAAAATCGCACCACTGCACTCCAGCCTGGGCAACAGAGCGAGACTCTGTCTCAAAAAATAAAAAATAAAATAAAATACAAAAAATTAGCTGGGTGTGGTGGTGGACACCTGTAATCCCAGCTATTCGCAAGGGAGGCTGAGGCAGGAGAATCTCTTGAACCCAGGGGGCAGAGGTTGCAGTGAGCCAAGATCATGCCATTGCACTCCAGCCTGGGTGACAGAATGAGACTCCGTCTCAAAAAAACAGTGGTTGAACTCTGGGAAATATTTTGAATGTAGAGCCACAGGACTTGCCAATGAATTAGATGGAGGGCATGAGAGAGAAAAAGAATGACTTTAAGAGTTTTTGTCTGTGAAGATCAACGAATGTGGTCATTTCTTGAGACAAGGAAGATTGCAGGAGAAGCAGGTTTTAGGGGAGAAAATAAAGAGAGCCATTTTGGACATACTAAGTTTGAAATGCTTATTCAATATCCCTATGGATAAGTTAAATGGGCATTTGACACATAAATGAATCTGGAGTTCAGGGAAGAGGTCCAGGATATGATATGAAATTGGAAGTAATCAGAGCACATAATATGGAATTTAAAGACATGAGGCTGGATGAGACCACCAAGAGAGCAAGAGTGGAATGCAAAGGGACAAGGTTCCTATGCTGACCCCAGGACTTCTCCAGTATCTGAGGTTGGGGCAATAAAGAAGAATCAGAAAGGGAGTCCCACAGGAGCTCCCAGAGAGGTAGGTGGAAAGCTAGGCAATCATGAGGTTTTGTTTGTCAGGTGAAGCAAGTGTTTCAGGGAGAAGAGCATGATAAAATAAATACTCAGGTAATGACAAATAAGAACGCTGTTTGGATGGAACAACTTAGAGGCCAGTCGTTGACCTCATAAAAACCAGTTTTGGAGTGGTGGGGAAGAAGCCTGATTGGAAAGGATTCAAGAGAGAATGAGAAGAGCAAAATGAGAAGGCATCGAGTGTAGCTTACTCTTTCCAAGCAATTTGGTATAAAGGAAGAAGAGAAATGGAATGGCAACTGGAGGAGAAATTAGGCCAAGAGAAGTTTTTGTAGTTTTTGTTTTTTTGTTTGTTTTGTTTTGAGACAGGGTCTCGCTCTGTCACCCAGACTGGAGTGCAGTGGCGTGATCTCGGCTCTCTGCAACTTCCTCCTCCCTGGCTCAAGCAATTCAAGAGTTTTGTTACTGTTATCTTTAATGGAAGAAGTGATGCATATTTGAAGGCTGCTGGGAATAATCACACAGAAGGAGAAACACTGATGATAAGAGATGAAAGGGCAGAATTGGCAGGGCCATGTGATCGACTAGGCAAGAGAAGATGGGATTTAGTGCAAAAATAAAGCAGCTGACCTTAGCCAGGCCCATGGACACCTGAGTTAACAGGACAGAACATTGGACACAGATTCAAGTAATGAGTCTATTCAGCTGTGTGCACCTGTGGATGTCTCTTAGATTATTTTGGTCTTCTATAAAACGGGAAAGTAAAATAGGAAGCGAGGTCATCAGCTAGAGTAAGAATGGGAAGGTGCTGAAGGTCCAAGGAGAAAAGAGAAAGTATGAAATACTCAGAGGTGTCCGGGCACAGTGGCTCACGCCTGTAATCCCAGCACTTTGGGAGGCTGAGGCGGGCCGATCACGAGGTCAGGAGATCGAGAGCATCCTGGCTAACAAGGAGAAACCTCGTCTCTACTAAAAATACAAAAATTAGCTGGGCGTGGTGGAGGGCGCCTGTAGTCCCAGCTAACTCAGAGGCTGAGGCAGGAGAATGGCGTGAACCCAGGAGGCGGAGCTTGCGGTGAGCCGAGATCATGCCACTGCACTCCAGCCTGGGCGACAGAGAAAGACTTCCGTCTCAAAAAAAAAAAGAAAAAAAAAAAAAAAGAAATACTCAGAGGCTTGGAGGGTGAATAAATGAGAGAAATGGAGTCTAAGTCCCGGGCAGCATTTAGGACATGCTAGTAGTTAATGATCACAAATTTAAAGTGAAGTCAATCAACATGTGTGTTTTTCTCCAAACCCCTTGAACTGAACCTATACAGGTGCCAAACAGGCCTAAGAACAGTTTTCAGTAGAGTAGTAGCAAAAGAAGTCAAATTGGGATGACTTTAAGGGGAAATAGGAGGTGAGGAAGTAAACAGCCCAAATTTAAACAACTGGTTCCATAAGTCACAATAAATCACAGCTAAGAAGGTCGGGATTGGTGGCTTACGCCTGTAATCCCGGCACTTTGGGAGGCCATGGCGGGCGGACTACTTGAGGTCAGGAGATCGAGACCAGCCTGGTCAACATGGTGAAACCCTGTCTCTACTAAAAATACAAAAATTAGCCAGGTGTGGTGGTGCACGCCTGTAGTCCCAGCTACTCGGGAGGTTGAGGCAGGAGAATCAGTTGGGAAGCAGAGGGTGCAGTGAGCTGAGACCGCGCCACTGCACTCCCACCTGGATGATAAAGTGAGACTCCATCTTAAAGAAAAAAAAAAAAAATCAGAGCTAAGAAATGACACAATATGTGGAAGGAAATGTGGGATTGGGAAATGTAAGGTATTTTTGTTAAAGGTAGAAGATACTGAAGACTGTTTGTACACTGATAGAATGATCCAGAAAAAAAGAAATTGACAACACAGAAGTGACAGAGACTCATGGAAGGGATAAAGTCCCTCAAAAGGGAACAGGATATAGAACACAGATGTACAGGAACTGGCCTCTGACGTGCATAGGTGTAGATTTATAGGGAAGATCGGCAGGAAGATCAGGTTATCTTCTCTGAGAGGTTTTCTTTTTTTTTTTTTTTTGAGATGGAGTTTCATTCTTATTGCTCAGGCTGGAGTTCAATGGTGCCATCTCGGCTCACTGCAGCCTCCGCTGCTCAGGTTCAAGTGATTCTCCTGCCTCAGCCTCCCAAGTAGCTGGGATTACAGGTGTGCACCACCAGGCCTAGCTAATTTTTTTGTTTTTAGTAGAGACAGGGTTTCGCCATTTTGGCCAGGCTGGTCTCGAACTCCTGACCTCAAGTGATCTGCCCGCCTCGGCCTCCCAAAGAGCTGGGATTACAGAATGAGCCACCACACCCAGCTAAGAGCTTTTCTTTTCTTTCTTTTTTATAATTTGTTTCTCACTGACAAAAAAATCACATGTATTTATTGTGTACAAAATGTTGTTTTGAAATATGTTTACATCATGAAATGTCTAAATGAAGCTAATTATTATATGCATTACCTCACATATTTATGGTGAGAACACTTAAAATCTATTCTCTTAGCAATTTTTAAGAATTCAACACGTTGTTAACTGTAGTCACCGTGTTGTAGAACAGATCTCTTGAACTTATTTCTCCAAACTAAAATTTTTTTGTCCTTTGACTGGCATTTCCCCCGGCAATCCCCCATACCCCCATCACCCAGTAATCACCATTCTACTCTCTGTTTCTATGAGTTCAACTTTTTTACACTCCACATCTAAGGGAGATCAGGTTGTATTTGTCTTTCTGTGCTTGGCTTATTTCACTTAACATAATGTCCTCCAGGTTTAGCCATGTTGTCCCAAATGACTAAATTTCCTTCTTTTTAAAGGCTGAATCATATTCCATTATGTATATATATCACATTTTCCTTAGCCATTCATCTATTGATGGACATTTAGGTGGATTCCATATCTTATCTATTGTGAGTAATGCTACAATGGACATGGGAGTGCAGATACATCTTTGACCTACTGATTTCATTTTCTTTAGATTTATACCTAGACTGGGATTACTGGATCCAATTTTCTTAATAATAAGACAAAGTCATTCATTGAAAAGAAGAGGGGAGATGTGGGAAGTTGGAAGAGAGAGCAGATTGTGTGAAATAACTATCTGAAAGAATAGGCAAGTACACTCACTATGGAAGCATAGTAGAATTCCCGGCCATTGTCAGGTGTTCATTTGAGGTTTATTATCCAGAATTTAAGGTTAAAGCATCAATTTAAAATTAATCAGCCTGGTTCTGTTATTTTCTTCAACAAGTAGCTACTGAGCACGTGGAGAGTTGAGTTCACCAGGGAAACCTACAAGCCTACAGGGCTCCATCCATTTAAATATCCTATCTTTAGAACCAAGGGAGGGTGGCAGAAAGGAGAACCAGAGAGTGACACTATTTGTTATTCAGACTGCCCATCCCTTTAAATGATTTTCTATTTTAAGAGCCTGGATGTCAATAGTGCTTAATTTAATCAGCTTCTTACAGGTTAAGAAGGAAATTGAAAATCTTAGTGAGTACTGAGACAAGTTTTCATCAGAAGCTCAGACTAATGAGCTAAGAGTGTTATAGGGCAAAGGAGGATGACTTATCTATTTATTCCAGAAAACAGTTATGACCCTGCAGGACAAATTCTTTACCCTGGACCCTGTTTACCTGGCTCTTATTAGGGTCTGCCAGTTGCTTGTCTTGGGATCTTTTCTTCCCACGAGGTATCATTTCTTAGACTGGCCTGCAGAATCATCCCACTAGCTCTGAGGTCAGTCCAGACCTTAAGACAAGGTGATTTTAGGAGCTCTTGTTCAGAACTCAGGGGGTTCTAATTTCCTTACTCTGGCATACAAGCCTTTCATATAACATGGCTTCAATCTACATTCTCAGGTTCATTTCCCACCACGCCAGGCTGGTTGTAGATCCTTGATGACTTCTACCTTCAAAAATCTCCCCTCTCCACCTGTGACATTCTTCATGGCCTTATTCACCCGGGGAGCTGTTATTGTTCCCTCCAGGCTCCTCAAATTTTCGGTCTTCAAGCTTTCTCTAATTCCATTCCTCCTTAGTTTTCCCATCAGCACTTAATATCTGGCTCTCCAAGCACTTATCACATCACGTTGTGATTCATGTATTTGTCTATATAATGTTTCTTCAGCTACTATGTCAAAAGTATCTCTGCAGGCCCAGCACTTAGCACAATGCCTTGCATATAATGAGCACTTATGTTTGACAACTAACAGCATCAGATCCAATTTGCTGTGAGAAAAACAACAACTCTAGAAAAAGAGCTTCTACCTTTTTCTTAAAATAAAACCCCCAACTGATTTTAAGATCTATAGCAGTTTGGCAGTTACTATAGTGAAGCAATTAAGTTTTGGGGTTCTGGTCAGAGACCTGAGCTTAAATCCCAGCTCTATCACTTACGAGTCAAGTACCACTTGGTGCCTCAGTTTCCTCATGTTTAACAATGAACATAAGAGATTGGATTTCATAAGCTTGCTGTATAAATTAGTGGAGACAGTGCATGCAACGTGCCCTCTCAGTGTTTGCAGTGCTTAGCATATAATGGGCAATCAACACTAGTTATAATGATCACTTACTATGAATTATAATTCTCTGGAAGTTAGATTCTTACTGATTTATCTCTGAATCTTTGCCTAGAAATCTTCACTATTTTAGTTCCTCAATGAATGCATCTCTGCCTTGCATTGCCCCTTTCCCTCCCCAACCCCCCGTTCAAACTACCACCCCAAGATGATGGTAGGAGCCTAGCACCTGGTTAGCCAATCTCACCATCTTCGCTGCCGGCCTGGATCTCTCAACACTACCTTCCGAAGTTCCCTAATGTCATACTCTATCTTCCTGCCTCTGCAGACACCATCATCTCTGGTGGGGTGTCCTCCTGACTCCAGCTTTTCCTGGGCTTCCCTCCCTGGCTATTTGTATTCCTTAGCCTTCCCGGTTGCCTTTCCTTGCCTCCTCTGTTGAATCTACTCCATCTCCAATATCTGCCCCCACCCCCAGCTTTTCCACCTCCCTCTGGGTCTGTACTGAGTGTCAAGGTTAACCCTATTTCCCATCTGTGGTCACTATGTACGTCTTCTATTTGTTGTGAACACTTTTGCTGAATCCTATCACTGCCCCCAAGAGAGTGTGCTGACCTAGCTAAATTCCTTGAGATTCTTTTCCAACAAGGATCCCCAGATAATCACACATATTAGATTACACTACACTTTGTTACTTTTAACCAGGGTTATCTAAATAATCCAATCATCTCCTCCTAGCTGGAGCTCAGAAGTGAAAGGATTCTGGCTGTAGTAGATGGTAGTGAAAAAAAACAAGGGCTTTGCCTTTTAGTCAGATGATCTTCCCAGCCAGAGCTTTAGGCCTATGTGATATTTTGACTAGAACTCTCCACTACCGAATAATCTGGGGAAATTAAGTAGATTTACAGCAGATGTAAATATGTGGAAACAAGGAGAACTCCATATTCTAAATGTTTACATGTTTCCCAAACCTCAAAGTTAGAAATGACCTTAGTCTATTCATTTAAACTAAAGTCTCAGTCAATTGAAATGGCAAATTTAGCCAAGACAGACAGACAGGAGAGAGAGAAACAGAAAGAGAGAGAGAGAGAGAAAGAAAGGAAGAAGAGGGAGAAAGAAAAAAAAAAAAGAGAAAGAAGCAAAGCAAAGTGAAATGGGCCCAAAAGCTGCCCTGGACTGATCATTTCTAGATAAACAAATTACCCTTAAAATAGAGCTGCCATGAGTCAATTAAATAGGCATTTGCTTCCATACCATTAAATGTGTTAACAACTTTATCTATAAGACTATTTTTCCTTAATTTTTACTCTCATAGAATTTTGTATAAATTTGCATAGACTTATAAGAAATCACTTCATACATAATAATTATGTCCTGATTATATAATTACATTCCATAAAGAAGACATTTCTAGACCTAAGGACCTCTATCACCTGAAATAAAATACTTCTACTACCAAAAATTCCTGCAAAACAAAAGGGAGGTGATTATTTTTATTTCCTAAGGGGAGAAATCATAGGGCAATAAAATTATTCCATTCATCCTATTAGTGGTTAGTTAACCAGATATGGGAAAGGAGGTGAGTTCTTAGGGGAGAAAAATCACTGTTCACAACATTTTGAGTGATGGTTCTTTCAACAATCACAATTCTCTTTCTCCATGTTAAAAAAGGAGCGGAGCCGAGAGGGACTGCATTATGCTTTCTAGACTTGCAAAGGATGCCATCCAGACAATGTGGAGAAGGTGGGGGGAAGAAGAGCCCAGATCTCTCCTAAGGCTTCAGCTTAAAGCTTCCATGGGGATTGGAGTAGAGATTCACTACACATCTGCATTCCAGCAACCCACTCCCACGTTTAAGCTGCTATTCCCAAGTGCCTGTTACTAAATATAGCTCCTGCCTTTCAGACTGACAGGAGAGCTCCCGCTGTGTACACCCAGAGCTAAATCTTCACACACTCCTAATATGGTTAGCCCAGCAGCCTATCAGCCCTTGAACGCAGAAGGGAAGCAGTGCTGCCTTTACAGGCTTCCTAAGGTTAACCCTTTCATGGAAGACAGGATGGAAGACAGATTGACCACTGGGAGCTGAAGATTCTCTGGTTACAAATAATAATGCATAAAATCGACATGACCTGGAAACCAGGATCCAGTCTGCTTTCCAAATACAAATACTTATGGATGGTAAGCATTAGATGGAGGAAGCAGGGCAAAAGGAACTGCCTAAACCCCATGGGTCATTGACATGAAACAGGTAAAGAAAAATAAAGGCGGGAAAGAAAACATTCTCAGGAGGGTGGTAAAGGCAGTAGAAACAAAGGGACTGACCAGTGTGTGCCACCCCTTCCCCAGAGACTGTTCTGTGGGAGCAGCTGCTGCCCAGGACAAAGAGGAAAACAGGTGTCCCTGCCTACTTTACAGCAGACCCCAACAGAGAGCACAGAATGGGTTCCATGGGCCGCTCAATATGCTTCCCAGTATTTATGAGACCCCTGTCAGGCCTCTGAGCCCAAGCCAAGCCATCGCATCCCCTGTGACTTGCACGTATACGCCCAGATGGCCTGAAGTAACTGAAGAATCACAAAAGAAGTGAATATGCCCTGCCCCACCTTAACTGATGACATTCCACCACAAAAGACGTGTAAATGGCCGGTCCTTGCCTTAACTGATGACATTACCTTGTGAAAGTCCTTTTCCTGGCTCATCCTGGCTCAAAAAGCACCCCCACTGAGCACCTTGCGACCCCTACTCCTGCCCGCCAGAAAACAAACCCCCTTTGACTGTAATTTTCCTTTACCTACCCAAATCCTATAAAACAGCCCCACCCTTATCTCCCTTCGCTGACTCTTTTTTCAGACTCAGCCCGCCTGCACCCAGGTGAAATAAACAGCCATGTTGCTCACACAAAGCCTGTTTGGTGGTCTCTTCACACCGACGCGCATGAAATTTGGTGCCGTGACTCGGATCGGGGACCTCCCTTGGGAGATCAATCCCCTGTACTCCTGTGTTCTTTGCTCCGTGAGAAAGATCCACCTACGACCTCAGGTCCTCAGACCGACCAGCCCAAGGAACATCTCACCAATTTTAAATCAGGTAAGCGGCCTCTTCTTACTCTCTTCTCCAACCTCTCTCACTGTCCCTCAACCACTTTCTCCTTTCCACTCTTCAATCTCTCCCTTCTCTTAATTTCAATTCCTTTCATTTTCTGGGAGAGACAAAGGAGACACGTTTTATCCATGGACCCAAAACTCCGGCGCCGGTCACGGACTGGGAAGGCAGCCTTCCCTTGGTGTTTAATCATTGCAGGGACGCCTCTCTGATTATACACCCACGTTTCAAGGGTGTCAGACCATGCAGGGACGCCTGCCTTGGTCCTTCACCTTTAGCGGCAAGTCCTGCTTTTCTGGGGAAGGGGCAAGTACCTCAACCCCTTCTCTCCTTGTCTCTACCCCTTCTCTGCTTTTCTGGGAGAGGGGCAAGTACCCCTCAACCCCTTCTCCTTCACCCTTAGCGGCAAGTTCCGCTTTTCTATGGGGCAAGAACCCTCAATCTCTTATTTCCACTCCCCAACCTCTTATCTCTGTGCCCCAATCCCTTATTTCCATGCCCCGACCTCTTATCTCTGCACCCCAACCCCTTTTCCCACTTTTCTGGAAGGTAAGAACCCCCGAACTCCTTCCCTCCATTTCTCTACTCTCTCTTTTCTCTAGGCTTGTTTCCTTCACTATGGGCAACCTTCCACCCTCCATTCCTCCTTCTACTCCCTTGGCCTGTGTTCTCAAAAACTTAAAACCTCTTCAACTCACACCTGACCTAAAACCTAAATGCCTTATTTTCTTCGGCAATGCCACTTGACCCCAATACAAACTCGACAGTAGTTCCAAATAGCCAGAAAATGGCACTTTGAATTTTTCCATCCTGCAAAATCTAAATAATTATTGTCGTAAAATAGGCAAATGGTCTGAGGTGCCTGACGTCCAGGCATTATTTTACACATCAGTCCCTTCCTAGTCTCTGTGCCCAGTGCAACTCGTCTCAAATCTTCTTTCTTTCCCTCCCGCCTGTCCCCTCAGTACCAACCCCAAGCGTCGCTGAGTCTTTCTAATCTTCCTTTTCTACAGACCCATCTGACCTCTCCCCTCCTCGCCAGCCCAAGCTAGGTCCCAATTCTTCCTCAGCCTCCGCTCCTGCACCCTGTAATCTTTTTATCGCCTCCCCTCCTCACACCTGGTCCGGCTTACAGTTTCGTTCCGTGACTAGCCCTCCTCCACCTGCCCAGCAATTTACTCTTAAAAAGGTGGCTGGAGCCAAAGGCATAGTCAAGGTTAATGCTCCTTTTTCTTTATCCCAAATCAGAAGCGTTTAGGCTCTTTTTCATCAAATATAAAAACCCGGCCCAGTTCATGGCTCGTTTGGCAGCAACCCTGAGACGCTTTACAGCCCTAGACCCTAAAAGGTCAAAACGCCATCTTATTCTCAATATACATTTTATTACCCAATCTGCTCCCGACATTAAATAAAACTCCAAAAATTGGAATCTGGCCCTCAAACCCCACAACAGGACTTAATTAACCTCGCCTTCAAGGTGTACAATAACAGAAAAAAGTTGCAATTCCTTGCCTCCACTGTGAGACAAACCCCAGCCACATCTCCAGCACACAAGAACTTCCAAATGCCCGAACCGCAGCGGCCAGGCGTTCCTCCAGAACCTCCTCCCACAGGAGCTTGCTACACGTGCCAGAAATCTGGCCACTGGGCCAAGGAATGCCCGCAGCCTGGCATTCCTCCTAAGCCGTGTCCCATCTGTGTAGGACCCCATGAAAATCAGACTGTTCAACTCACCTGGCAGCCACTCCCAGAGCCCCTGGAACTCTGGCCCAAGGCTCTCTGACTGACTCCTTCCCAGATCTTCTCGGCTTAGCGGCTGAAGACTGACACTGCCCGATCGCCTCGGAAGCCCCCTGGACCATCACGGACGCCGAGCTTCGGGTAACTCTCACAGTGGAAGGTAAGCCCGTCCCCTTCTTAATCAATACGGAGGCTACCCACTCCACATTACCTTCTTTTCAAGGGCCTGTTTCCCTTGCCTCCATAACTGTTGTGGGTATTGACGGCCAGGCTTCTAAACCTCTTAAAGCTCCCCAACTCTGGTGCCAACTTAGACAATACTCTTTTAAGCACTCCTTTTTAGTTATCCCCACCTGCCCAGTTCCCTTATTAGGCTGAGACACTTTAACTAAATTATCTGCTTTCCTGACTATTCCTGGACCACAGCTATATCTCATTGCCGCCCTTCTTCCCAATCCAAAGCCTCCTTTGTGTCCTCCTCTTGTATCCCCCGACCTTAACCCACAAGTATAAGATACCTCTACTCCCTCCTTGGTGACCGATCATGCACCCCTTACCATCTCATTAAAACCTAATCACCCTTACCCCACTCAACGCCAATATCCCATCCCGCAGCACGCTTTAAAAAGATTAAAGTCTGTTATCACTCGCCTGCTACAGCATGGCCTTTTAAAGCCTATAAACTCTCCTTACAATTCCCCCATTTTACCTGTCCTAAAACCAGACAAGCCTTACAAGTTAGTTCAGGATCTCTGCCTTATCAACCAAATTGTTTTGCCTATCCACCCCGTGGTGCCAAACCCATATACTCTCCTATCCTCAATACCTGCCTCTACAACCCATTATTCTGTTCTAGATCTGAAACATGCTTTCTTTACTATTCCTTTGCACCCTTAATCCCAGCCTCTCTTCGCTTTCACTTGGACTGACCCTGACACCCATCAAGCTCAGCAAATTACCTAGGCTGTACTGCCACAAAGCTTCACAGGCAGCCCCCATTACTTCAATCAAGCCCAAATTTCTTCCTCATCTGTTACCTATCTCGGCATAATTCTCATAAAAACACACGTGCTCTCCCTGCCAATCGTGTCCGACTGATCTCTCAAACCCCAGCACCTTCTACAAAACAACAACTCCTTTCCTTCCTAGGCATGGTTAGCGCGGTCAGAATTCTTACACAAGAGCCAGGACCACACCCTGTAGCCTTTCTGTCCAAACAACTTGACCTTACTGTTTTAGCCTAGCTCTCATGTTTGCGTGCAGTGGCTGCTGCTGCTTTAATACTTTTAGAGGCCCTCAAAATCACAAACTATGCTCAACTCACTCTTTACAGTTCTCATAACTTCCAAAATCTGTTTTCTTCCTCACACCTGACGCATATACTTTCTGCTTCCTGGCTCCTTCAGCTATACTCACTCTTTGTTGAGTCTCCCACAATTACCATTGTTCCTGGCCCGGACTTCAATCAATCCAGCCTCCCATATTATTCCTGATACCACACCTGACCCCCATGACTGTATGTCTCTGATCCACCTGACATTCACCCCATTTCCCCAAATTTCCTTCTTTCCTGTTCCTCACCCAGATCACACTTGATTTATTGATGGCGGTTCCACCAGGCCTAATCGCCACACACCAGCAAAGGCAGGTTATGCTATAGTACAAGCCACTAGCCCACCTCTTAGAACCTCTCAACAACATGCCCGAGTCAGGAAACTAAAATACCTCTTAATCTAAATAGACACTTTCACTGAATAAGTAAAGGCCTTTCCTACAGGGTCTGAGAAGGCCACCGCAGTCATTTCTTCCCTTCTGTCAGACATAATTCCTCAATTTAGCCTTCCCACCTCAATATAGTCTGATAACAGACGAGCCTTTATTAGTCAAATCAGCCAAGCAGTTTTTCAGGCTCTTAGTATTCAGTGAAACCTTTATATCCCTTATGGTCCTCCGTCTTCAAGAAAAGTAGAATGGACTAAAGGTCTTTTAAAAACACACCTCACCAAGCTCAGCCACCAATTTAAAAAGGACTGGACAATAGTTTTACCAGTTTCCCTTCTCAGAATACAGCCCATTTAAGCTCCTGTATAGACGCTCCTTTTTATTAGGCCCCAGTCTCATTCCAGACACCAGACGACCAACTTAGACTGTGCCCCCCACCAAAAAAAACTTGTCATCCCTACTATTTTCTGTCTAGTCATACTCCTATTCACCGTTCTCAACTACTCATACATGCCCTGCTCTTGTTTACACTGCCGGTTTACACTGTTTTTCCAAGCCATCACAGCTGATATCTCCTGGTGCTATCCCCAAACTGCCACTCTTAACTCTTGAAGTAAATAAATAATCTTTGCTGGCAGGACTATGCCGAATCTCCTTAAGCACTCTCTAATCAGACATCCTGAGTCGTCCCAATTCTTAGACCTTTTATACCTGTTTTTCTCCTTCTGTTATTCCATTTAGTTTTTACAATTCATACAAAACCGTATCCAGGCCATCACCAATCATTCTATACGACAAATGTTTCTTCTAACATCCCCACAATATCACCCCTTACCACAAGACCTGCCTCCAGCTTAATCTCTCCCACTCTAGGTTCCCACACCGCCCCTAATCCCGCTTGAAGCAGCCCTGAGAAACATCGCCCATTCTCTCTCCATACCATCCCCCAAAATTTTCCCAACACTTTACCATTATTTTGTTTTATTTTTCTTATTAATATAAGAAGGCAGGAATGTCAGGCCTCTGAGCCCAAGCCAAGCCATCGCATCCCCTGTGACTTGCACATATATGCCCAGATGGCCTGAAGTAACTGAAGAATCACAAAAGAAGTGAATATGCCCTGCCCCGCCTTAACTGATGACATTCCACCAAAAAAGAAGTGTAAATGGCCGGTCCTTGCCTTAACTGATGACATTACCTTGTGAAAGTCCTTTTCCTGGCTCATCCTGGCTCAAAAAGCACCCCCACTGGGCACCTTGCGACCCCCACTCCTGCCCGCCAGAGAACAAACCCCCTTTGACTGTAATTTTCCTTTACCTACCCAAATCCTATAAAACAGCCCCACCCTTATCTCCCTTCTCTGACTCTTTTTTCAGACTCAGCCCGCCTGCACCCAGGTGAAATAAACAGCCATGTTGCTCACACAAAGCCTGTTTGGTGGTCTCTTCACACGGACGCGCATGACAACCCCACCACCCCAAGGACAGGGACTGTAAACTCCCAACGGGGTAACCTTGCCTGCTGCCTAGATGGAGCTGATTTATCAAGATAGGGGAATTGCAACAGAGAAAGACTTTAATTCATGCAGAGCCAGCTGTATGGGAGACAGGAGTTTTATCATTCCTCAAATCAGGATAATTTAGTAGGTAGGGGGTCAGAAAGTGGGGATTGCTGATTCATCAGGTCAGAGATGAAATCATAGGAAGTCGAAGCTGTCCTCTTGCTCTGAGTCAGTTCCTGGTTGGAGTCCACAAGACCAGATGAGCTAGTTTATAGATCTAGGTGGTGCCAGCTGATCCATCGAGTGCAGGTTCTGCAAAATATCTCAAGCACTGTTCTTAGGTTTTACAATAGTGATGCTATCCCTAGGAGCAATTTGGGAGGTTGAGAATCTTGCAGCCTCCAGCTACATGACTCCTAAATCATAATTTCTAATCTTGTAGCTAATTTGTTAGTCCTAAAAAGGCAGTCTAGTCCCCAGGCAGGAAGGGGGTTTGTTTTGAGAAAGGGTTGTGATTGTCTTTGTTTCCACGCTAAACTATAAACTAAGCTACTCCCAAAGTTAGTTCAGCCTACACCCAGGTATGAACAAGGACAGCTCAGAGGTTAGAAGCAAGATGGAGTCGGTTAGGTCAGATCTTTGTCACTGTAATTATTGTCTCAGTTATAATTTTTGCAAAGGCAGTTTCAGGACCAGTCTATATTTCAGAGTGCTGATCAGAGGCTAAAGGTTCTGGAAGAAATAATAAGGAAGCAGCAGCCAGCAGTTAGGCAATGAATTTCCCTAATAACTCACTCAAGTGTTAGAGTGAAATACTAAAATCCTCTTCCTTCCTCTGGAGAAAAGAGAAATCTCTGTGCCGGCTTCCCAATAAGAGGACTGTTAGAACTGGTGAGTTCCTTTCTGAGACAGAGTGATGTATAATAAAATGAAGTTAAGTTTCAAGATACTGTTGCTCAGTGCACAGATTTTTGCTGCTGCTTCTCAGCGTTTCACGGGTGTCCATAATTTGGTAGAGGGGTTATATGAATGGAAGATGGAAAGGGTAAGGATTTTTGTAAAGAGCATCAAGTATTTATTCCCTCAAGGGTTCAAATGTGGGTGCTCTTGAAGGTGGGTCTGGTCCCACTCCTCACTGCAGGCCAACAAGGCTGTGATTATTTGCCTTCTGAAGTCCTGTGTTAGAAAAATGGTTTTCTACATTTTTATCAAGGCCAGAATCCCAAGAAGCACATTAGAGGTAATTCTAAATTAGAAGTGGCAGTGGTAGGGCTTATTTGTAACAAAAAGCATGACCTAAACTGCTGGATATCATCCTATTCCTAATGAAAAATGGTTGGGCACATGCAGTGAATTTCTCTGCTATCCAGCCCCGCCCAGGTTTGTGTCTGTTCCACTTACTACTGCCTCTCTTGGGTGGCCAAGGACCCCACCTTTTGTCCCACTCAAAAACCAGGGTGGTTTTTGAGCGGGACAGGTAGATGGGAGCTCTGCGGAGTCTCAGGTTGCAGACAGGTGTTCTTCTGCTGAGGGCTGAACCCCAGGCAGCTGTGGAAGAAAGCCTCCGTCCTGGCACAGGTGAGAACTGCCTCAAAGTCTCTTTGCTTGGGTAATGAAAAAAGAAAGAAAGACGGCCACCTGCAGCTTTGGCTTGGCTTCCATGTGGCTCTTGGCCACTGGCCATGCTCTGTCACCTCTGCATTCTTTTCTCCCCTCCTAGTAACCCAGATCTGGCCCTTCAAGGGCACCTCCCACCTAAGTCTTTCTGTTTTCCAAGAGGTAGGGTGGGCAAGATCTTCTACCCTACTTCCCCCCTCCCCCATAACACACACGGTTTTCTTCTTCACCTTTGTTGTTGCATAAATTCACAAGTGGGACACTTAGTTCCTCTCAAAGCCTTTACTTTTAATCCGAATGGACCCTACAAGTAAATAAAGAAACAAACCTGTAATTAGCCATTTATTTCCCTTATAGTTTTAGATACAGCAATCCCAATTCTTCTTGTATCAATGTGGAAGCCTCTAGCAACTACAAAGAGTATCAGGAAATATGAGGAAGGAAGAAAAGCATAGAAATTAATAGATCTCGTCTTGTACTATCTAATAGACACTATTACAAAAGGAAAAAATGGCATGCAATTGGCAGAAAACAAACACCAAGAGGCAGTTAACAGCATTACTTCAGGCTGGACGTGGTGGCTTACTCCTGTAATCCTAGCACTTTGGGAGACCTAGGCAGGAGGATCCCTTGAGTCCAGGAGTTCAAGTTTGCAGTGATCTATGATTTTGTACCATCACACTCCAGCCTGGGTGACTGTGTGAGACTCTGTCTCTTAAAAAATAAAACATTTTTAAAAAGACTATTTATTTTCAATAAAGCATAGATAAAAAAAAAGCTTTGTCAAAACTTCTTTCAATACCCATATTTGTAGCTCAAATGAAAAATTTAAAAAGAGGTTAAGAGATACTTCCCTCAAGTTCTTTCGGTGGTTACAGTTAATGTCACTAAATCATAACCTCAAAGCTACAACCGAACTTTAGCCAGCCTTCCCTACCCCATACAGGGTTGGGGAACATATCTATAGCGAAGGTTGGTACTGCTTTGGAGCTTTGCATGTCAGGAGTACCAGATCCTTTAAAAAATGTGGACCATGAACCTAGCATGTTCATATTTGTAAATGGTTTATATTAAAAATTAATATTAACAAATAAGGTTTCTTTACTTCATTCAACAATTATATTTTGAGTTCTGCTCCATGTCGTTCTTTATTGTTAGCTGATAGAGATAATGTAATGACTAAAGAGTTCCTACTCATTGGAGCTCTTAGTGGAGGAAACAGATAAATAAAAAGTAAAAATAAATACTGATTTTCATCATTACTATGAAGGGAATAAATAGGGTGATATGATGAGTAAGAGAATACCTGCCACAGGGGCATTATTTTAGAAAGTACAGTCTGAAGAGAAAGACCTCTCTGAGAATAGTACATTTTGAGTTAAGACAGGCCTGGAAGTACAAAGGTCCTGACATAAGAGCCAGTTTAGGATTAGGACCAGAAGCAATATCAGTGCAGGGCTTGAGTCTTTGGCAAAACAAGGGGAAGGAGGAGAGAGATAAGGTTGGTCAGTAGGGAGAGACCAGACAAGGCCACAAAAAAGTTGACATTTTAATTCTAATTTCAGTGGGAAGGCATGGAAGAGATTTTAGCAGAGAAGGAATGTGATCTGAATTCCAGGTTTAATGTCAACAATTTCTAAATTGTGCTCTAATTATTAATAACCATAGCTTTATCACCAATGCGATGACCATGTAGACACCCAGAAAACTGTGGCGCACCTGCATATCATCTTAGCCACTCAAGAGGCTCTTCCAAGTTTAGCCTCTTAAAGTTTGAAAATTCTGCATCATCAGGAACTGAGTCGTTTCAGAAGTTAACCTGTATCACAGAATCCCAGGTAGAAATGCTCCTTTCTTCTCCCTCTGGGTCAGCAGCTAGTAAGTGTCTTTCTCTCTGATTATATCCAGGAAAGTAAATAGCTCCTACAGCCAACCTAGGTACATGAACTGACCCACCAGGTTATACAGGACAGCAGTCACCAAACTTTTTGGC